>NC_000017.11:1854747-2006262 GCF_000001405.40 Homo sapiens
TTGCAACTCATAGGATTGACAAAGGGTTACTATCTTTACTATTTATTGAATTTTTTTACATATTAAGGAATAAAGTACTTCATTAGCAAAGCAGGCATTGGAGAAAAATAGATGGTTCACTATAGAAGGAAAACAAATGGCTAATACATTAGAAAACATCTCCAGCCTGGCTCGTTATCTTTGTCTTGTTCCTGATCTCAGGGAGAAAGCGTTCAGACTTTCACCATTAAATGTCATGTTAACTGTAGGGTTTTCTTAGAGTCTTTTTATCAGAAGTAAAGAAGTTTATTTCTGTTCCTAGTTGGTGAGGGCTTTCATCAGAAATGGATGGTGAGTTTTGTCAAATGCATTTTCTGTGCTTGCTGATGATCTGATGATCATATGGTTTTCTTTGTTAGTTAATATGGTGAGTTACATTGATTGATTTTTTTTTTTGAGACAGTCTCATTGCATGACCCAGGCTGGAGTGCAGTGGTGCCTTCTAGGCTCACTGCAACCTCCGCCTCCCGGGTTCAAGTGATTCTCGTGCCTCAGCCTCAGAGTAGCTGGGATTACAGGTGTATGACACCACACCCGGCTAAAATTGTGTGTGTGTGTGTGTGTGTGTGTGTGTGTGTGTTTAGTAGAGACAGGGTTTTGCCATGTTGGCCAGGCTGGTCTCGAACTCCTGACCTCAAGTGGTCCACCCGCCTGGGCCTCCCAAAGTGCTGGGATTACATTGCGCTCAGCCACGTTGATTGGTTTTTGAGCGCTAAACCAATCTGGGATCTCTGGGATAAGTCTATGTCATGATGTATTATTCTTTTTACATATTGTTGGATTTGATTTGCTATATCCCTTTGATCTGATTTACTTTGTTTAGAATTGTTGTATCGGTATTCACGAGAGATATTTTTCTTTAGTTTTCTTCTATTGTTACATCTCTGATTTTGATACCTGAGTAACCCTGGCCTTATGGAATAAGTTGGGAAGTGTGTTCCGTTCTTAAATTTTCTGCAGCAGTTTATGTAGACTTGGTACTTCTTCCTTAGATGTTCAGTTGAATTCACCAGTGAAGTCATCTGGGCCTGATTTTTTTTTTTTAATGGAAAAGTCTTAAACTGTAAGTTCAGTTTCTTTAATAGAGAGATACAGGGTTATTCAAGCACCCTTCTTGAGTAGACTTTGGTAGATTATGTGCTTCAAGGAATTTAATTTCATTTAAGTTCTTGAATTTATTAGTCTATAGAAATATAAATATTCTAAACACCCCAATTATTAGAAATTATCAGATGGATTTAAAAAATATATTTCCAGCTGGGTGCAGTGGCTCACACTTGTAATCCCAACACCTTGGGAGAACGAGGCAAGCCGATCGCTTGCGCTTGGGAGTTCAAGACCAGCCTGCGCAACATGATAAAACCCAGTCTCTACCAAAAATACAAAAAATTAGCTGGATGTGGTGGCGCTCCTGCACCTGTGGTCCCAGCTACCTGAGCCCGGGAGGTGGAGGTTGCAGTAAGCCGAGATGGCACCAGTGCACTCTAGCCTGGGTGACAGAGTGAGACCCCATAAAAAAAAAAAAAAATGCCAGGTGCTGTGGCTCACGCCCATAATCCCAAAACTTTTGGGGAAGCTGAGGCGGGCGGATCACGAGGTCAGGAGTTGGAGACCAGCCTGGCCAATATGGTGAAACCTTGTCTCTACTGAAAAAATACAAAGATTATCTAGGCGTGGTGGCACGCACCTGTAGTCCCAGCCACTCGTGAGGCTGAGGCAGGAGAATCACTTGAACCCGGGAGGCGAAGGTTGCAGTGAGCTGAGATCATGCCACGGGCACTCCAGCTGGGCCGACAGAATGAGACTCTGTCTCAAAACAAAACAAAACGAAACTATATATAGTTTTTATTTATTTATTTAATTTTTATTTTTATTTAATTTTTACTTTTTTAATTTACTTTTTTTATTTAATTTTTTATATTTTTAGTAGAGACAGGATTTTGCCATGTTGGCCAGGCTGGTCTCGAACTCCTGCCCTCAAGTGATCTGCCTGCCTCAGCCTCCCAAAGTGCTGGAATTATAGCATATATATATATTATATAACATACATATATGTTTCCTTGTTATCCTTTGAGTGTCTGTAGAATTTGAGAGTTTCATCAATCTTATTGATCTCAAAGGAGCAACTTTTGGTTTTATTGATTTTCTCTTATGTTTTGTATTCTATTGATTTATGCTTTTTATCTTTATTTTCTTCTACTTACTTCGGGTTTTGTATATTTTTTTCTCGTTTCTTAAGGTGGAAGCTGAGTTCATTGACTTGAGATCTTTTTTTCTAACATAGGCATGTAGCATTATAAATCTGCCCTTAGCTACTGCTTTAAAAGTATCCAGCAAATTTGGATATGTTATATTCTCATTCATATTCAATTCATAATACTTTCTTATTTCCCTTTCAATTTCATCATTAACATTCTGTTATTTAGAAATGTGTTTAGTTTTTAAATGTGGGGATTTTCTCTTTTTTTCTTTTTCTTTTTCTTTTTTTTTTTTCAAAGATAAAATGAGTATTTAATTCAGTTTCAGAAAAAAAGGGTACATTACTTCGATGAGAAAGCATAAAATTAAGAGGCTTTTCTGGAAATCCAAGAAAAAGAAATAACCATTAATATGTTCAATGATAATTTTCTGGATCTTCCTCGTGTCCAAAGCTATATATTTTCTCCTCAAAAGCAGCTGCTCCAAGAACTAACTAGCCCTCTTTATCTCCCTCTAGCTGGGACAGACTAATTCCCCTCCACCCCCACCTCTCTTCTTTCAATAACACTGTGTAGGTGTTAATGGCCTGGGCTCTCACCAATGAAGAGAATTGTCCTTTAAGCCAGCAACCCACAGGTAGTGGCACCCAAAGCCTCACCAACCCACCCCCCACCCGGCCCGTCCCCAGGGCAGAAGCCACAGAGCTGGCATTGTTTCCACTGTCTCAGGAAGAAGGAGCCAAAAGCTGACCCTCAGCACAAATCAAAGCCCAATATGGAGAGAGAATAACTGCTTCTAGGCCGAGAGTAGGCAAGCTGTGGGCAAAAAAGGGGAGTTTTTGCAGCCACCTCATCTTTAGAAACAAGGGGAAAACTAGACCGTTTTCCACTATTAAGGTCTACCAGGTACTCTACTGCTCCAAGGAGATCTGAAAATACAAAAGGATCTAAACAAATAAGGAGAACTTTTCCCAGGCTGGAGATAAGAATGACAAACAGAAAGATGGGTGAATGTAATAATGTGTAGGAAGATGATGCTGGGAGCCTCCTTTCTTCACATGGCTGCCAGCCCCATAGAGGACAACACAGTAAGAACCAGGACAACCACTCCAGACTGGTATAGCTGGGGAATCTTCAGGCCTTTTCCTAGGTTCCACATCAAGTGTCGGATCCCATTCCAGGTATGATACATGAGAGGGAAGACGAGTGCAAACTTAGCTGTGTGGATCAGTGCTGGCCCCAGACACAGGGACTTCACAAGTTCCAAATAAGACTCAAAGTTCCCAGGGAGTAACACGGCCGACATGCCAAAAAGAGAGACCCCTGCACTCAAAGCAATACCAGTGCCACGGTGGCAGATGGACATCGCCATGGGAAGAGACCAATTTCTGATACAGAGCTGAGGGCTAAAGTGGGCTCGGAGGCAATGACGACCAACGTGTCTCAGCAACAGCGCAGCCATCTTGGGTTCTGGTCTCTCTTTTTCTTTTTTTTTTTGAGACAGAGTCTTGCTCTGTCACCCAGGCTAGAGTGCAGTGGCACAATCTCGGCTCACTGCAGCCTCCGCCTCCCGGGTTCAAGCGATCCTCCCACATCAGCCTCCTGAGTAGCTGGGACTATTGGTGTGTGCCACCATGCCTGGCTAATTTTTTATATTTTTAGTAGAGACGCGGTTTTGCCATGTTGGCCAGGCTGGTCTTGAACTCCTGCCCTCAAGTGATCTGCGTGCCTCAGCCTCCCAAAGTGCTGGAATTACAGACATGAGCCATCGTGCCAGCCAAATGTGGGTATTTTCTAGAGATCTTGTTCTTGATATCTAATTTAATTCTAGTATGATCAAACAACATACTTTGTATGACTTGAATCCTGTTAAATGTATTGTCTTATTTTGTTTTATTTTATTTATTTATTTTTATTTTATTTTTTTTTTTTTTTTGAGACAGAGACTCACTCTTTCACCCAGGCTGGAGTGCAGTGGCATGATCTTGGCTCACTGCAATCTCCACCTCCCAGGTTCAAGCGATTCTCCTATCTCAGCCTCCCAGGTAGCTAGGACTACAGGTGCCTGCCACCATGCCTGGCTAATTTTTGTATTTTTAGTAAAGACAGGGTTTTGCCGTGTTAGCCAGGCTGGTGTCAAACTCCTGACCTCGGATGATCTGCCTGCCTTGGCCTCCCAAAGTGCTGGGATTACAGGAGTGACCCACCTTCCCCAGCCTTGAGTCTTATTTTATGTCCAGATTATGGTCTCTCTTGGTAAATTCTGTGTGTACTTGAAAAGAATGTGTATTCTGTTGTTGGGCAGAGTCTTACAAATGTCAATTAGGTCGAGTCGGTAAATTGTGTTATTCAGTTTTTCTATATCTTTACTGTTTTTCTGTTTACTTGTTCTGTCATTTACTGAGAGGGATATTGAAATCTCTAACTGTAATAATTGTAAGTTTCTCTGTCTCTCTGCAGTTCTATTAGTTTTTGCTTCATGTATTTCAAAGCTGTATTATTAAATATCTATATAATTTAGAATTCTTGTGTCCACTTGATGAGTTGACTCTTATTATTATGAAATGATTTTATCCCTGGGAAATTCTGTGCTTTGAAGTCTGCTTTGATATTAGCATAGCCACTTTGGCGTTTTTTTTGTTTTGTTTTGTTTTTTCTCTCCTAGAGACAACATCTTGCTCTGTTGCCCAGGCTGGAGTACAGTGGTACATTCACGGCTCAGTGCAGCCTCAACACCTTGGGCTCAAGCAATCCTCCCACCTCCGCCTCCTGAGTAGCTGGGACTACAGGCATGTGCCACCACGCCCAGCTAATTTTATTTTGTTTTTTATTTATTTATTTATTTTTGAGACGAAGTCTCACTCTGTTGCCAGGCTGGAGTGCAGTGGCGTGATCTCGGCTCACTGCAACCTCCGCCTCCCAGGTTCAAGCGATTCTCCTGCCTCAGCCTCCTGAGTAGCTAGGGCTACAGGCACGCATCACCATGCTCAGCTGATTTTTGTATTTTTAGTAGAGATAGGGTTTCACCATGTTGGCCAGGATGGTCTCCATCTCTTGACGTCATGATCTGCCCGCCTCAGCCTCCCAAAGTGCTGGGGTTAAAGGCGTGAGCCACCATAATTGGCCTAATTTTATTTTTTGTGGACATGGAGTCCTGCCATGTTGCCCACACTGGTCTTGAATTCCTGGCCTCCAGCAATCCTCCTGCCTCAGCCTCCCAAGTAGTTGGGACTGCAGGCTGCACCTGTAGTCTGGGAGGTGGAGTGCCGGGCCTGCCTGTGGACTGCCTGGACTGGGGCTGGGACGGCAGTGCCACCACGCCCGGCTCATTTCTTTTCTTTTTATTTGTAGGGGCGGGGTCTCACTTTGTTGCCCAGGCTGGTCTCAAACTCCTGGCCTCAATCCTCCTGCCTTAGCCTCTCAAAAGGCTGAATTACAGGCATAAGCTACTGTGCCTGGCCATTGTGTATACTTTCTATTGCTAGCCGTTCAAGTTCACTAATGGTTTCTCAGGCAGTGCCTAATCTGCTGTTAATCCCATTGAGTGTATTTTTCTTCTCAGATAGTATAGTTTTTATCCCTAGAAGCTTGATTTTGGGTCTTTAAAAACTCATCTACATCTCTGCTTAATTTTTGGGACATACAGAGCACAATGACAGTATTTGTTGTAAGGTCCTTGTCTGTGGATTCTGGTGTCTGTGTTAGGTCCGGATTTGTTTCCGTCAGTTGATCCCGGCCTCTCCGATCATGGATCATATTTTCCTGCTGCTTTTCATGCCTGGCCCTCGGACCGAATGCCAGACATTGGGATTCGTACCTCGTTGGGTGCTAGAAACTTTTGTAATCCTGTAATTATTCTTGAGCTTTTTTCAGGGATACAGTTAACTTGGAGACAGTTTGATCTTTTGGTGTGTTGCTTTTAAGATTTATTAGAGAATCAGAGAGCTGCATTTAGTCTAGGTGTAGTTATTCCCAATACTGAATCGAGACCTGACAGACTGTTCTACCTCGTGCCCCATGAATATGAATTTTTCCCATCTGACTGGTAGAAACAGGTACTATTTCAAGCTTGCTGTAAACACAGGCATGGTTCCCTCTGGCCTTCTCAGATGATTCTCACCCTGGCCTCAGATCGTGTCCACACACACACACGGGCCAACCAGGACTCTGCTGACTACCCAGGAAACCTGCCACCCATTTCTGGAGTTCTCTGTGTACAGCCCTCTCTTCTCTGCTACTCTGTCCGGCCAGCTAGACGGCGATCTCCCCAGACTCTCGGCCCCCATTTCTGCACCTCGGGTTCTGGCAGGCCCCCTAAGCCCTTGAGGCACTGAGCTGGTGCAGACCCACTCGCTCGCTTTCCTGTGCACAGCAGGCGCTACCCCTCATTGAAAACCATGCGTCTCACGTATTTTCTCCCTTTCTGGTGGGGGGAGGGGGTTATGTTAGGTGTTAGGGTGAACCTGGTCTCTGTTGCTCCATTTGTCCGGTACGTAGTTTTAAAAGTTGAATATTTTTGCGAGGTGTGTCCTTAAAAACAAAACAGCATTCTCCTGCCTCACTTTTCTTTGGCCTCTGACTCCTGTCTAGAGACAGTCTGTTTCAAATCTCACAGCTGTTTCTTCTCTGTTTGTCTCCATATTTCTAAATAACACATTTGTGCTGCTCTTCGTTAATTTTTTCAGTTGAAACATTTGTTTATTAACTTCACGCTATGGGAGATTAGAATGTGGTGCTCTCTCTTTTTTTTTTTTCTTTTTTAAGAGTCTCACACTGTCACCCAGGCTGGAGTCCAGTGGCGTGATCTTGGCTCACTGCAACCTCCGCCTCCTGGACTCAAGCAATCCTCCTTGCCTCAGCCTCCTCAGTAGCTGGGATTACAGGCGTGCACCACTGCACCCTGCTAATTTTTGTTTTTATTTTTTTATTTTTTGAGACGGAGTCTCACTGTGTCGCCCAGGCTGGAGTGCAGTGGCGCGGTCTCGGTTGACTGCAAGCTCCACCTCCCGGATTCACGCCATTCTCCTGCTTGAGTAGCTGGGACTACAGGCACCCACCACCATGCCCGGGTGATTTTTTTTGTATTTTCAGTAGAGACGGGGTTTCACTGTGTTAGCCAGGATGGTCTCCATCTCCTGACCTCGTGATCTGCCCGCCTCAGCCTCCCAAAGTGCTGGGATTACAGGCGTGAGCCACCGCCCCCAACCGTATTTTTTTTTTTTTTTTTTTTTTTTTGTAGCGATGGAGTCTATGTTGTCCAGGCTGGTCTTGAACTCCTGGGCTCAAGCAATCCGCCCACCTGAGCCTCCCAAAGTGCCAGGATTACAGGTGTGAGCCACAGCGCCCAGCTTAGAATGTAGCTCTCTTATACCTCTCTTGTCCCTGCTGTCCACATGGAAGAAGTAGATGTTAATATCGATTAGCTCAATATTTATTTATTTATTTATTTATTTGAGATGGAGTCTCACTTTGTTGCCCAGGCTGGAGTGCAGTTGCATGATCTTGGCTCACTGCAACCTCCACCTCCCAGTTCAAGCTATCCTCATGCCTCAGCCTCACCAGTAGCTGGGATTACAGGCACACACCACCATGCCCAGCTAATTTTTGTATTTTTAGTAGAGATGGGGTTTCACCATGTTGGCCAGGTTGGTCTCGATCCCCTGACCTCAAGTGATCCGCCCACCTTGACCTCCTAAAGTGCTAAGATTATTGGCGTGAGTCACTGTGCCCAGCTTTTTTTTTTTTTTTTTTTTTTGAGATGAAGTTTTGCTTTGTTGCCCAGGCTGGAGTGCACTGGAACGATCTCCGCTCACTGCAACCTCCCCCGGGTTCAAGTGATTCTCCTGCCTCAGGCTCCCAAGTAGCTGGGATTACAAGTGCCCGCCACCACGCCCAGCTAATTTTTGTATTTTTAGTAGAGACGAAGTTTCACCATGTTGGCCAGGCTAGTCTCGAACTGCTGACCTCAGGTGATCTGCCTGCCTCAGCCTCCCAAAGTGTTGGGATTACAGGCGTGAGCCACCGTGCCCGGCCAAGATTTATTTATTTAGTTATTTGGAGACAGGTTCTTGCTTTGCCATCCAGGCTGGAGTGCAGTGGCTCAAAAAGGGCTTACTGTAGCCTCAACCTCCCAGGCTCAAGTGATCTTCCCACCTCAGCTTTCCCAGTAGCTGGGAGCGTGAACCACCACGCCCAACTAATTTATTTTATTTTATTTTATTTTATTTTATTTTATTTTATTTTTTTGAGACGAGTCTCACTCTGTCACCCAGGCTGGAGTGCAATGGCACAATCTCGGCTCACTGCAACCTCCACCTCCCGGGCTCAAGCGATTCTCCTGCCTCAGCCTCCCGAGTAGCTGGGATTACAGGTGCCCGCCACCACACTCAGCTAATTTTTTTTATTTTTAGTAGAGACGGCGTTTCACCACGTTGGCCAGGCTGGTCTCGAACTCCTGACCTCAGGTGATCCACCCACCTTGGCCTCCCAAAGTGTTGGGATTACAGGTGTGAGCCACCGTGCCTGGCCCCAACTACTTTTTATATTTTTTTGTAGAAACAGAGTTTTGCCATGTTGTCCAGGCTGGTCTTGAGCTCCTGAGTTCAGGTAATCCACCTGCCTCGGTCTCCCAATGTGCTGGGATTACGAACGTGAGCCCCTGCAGGGGGCCGACATCAAAATTTAAATGGCCAGTCAGATTGAAGTTTTTCTATGAAACATATCTTGCTTTATTAAAAATTTAAAGTTTTCAAAACATACTTGTAGAAGGCAATTTTCAAATGGTTGTTATGTTTTCAGATATTTTTAGTAATCAGAACAACATAATTTTATTGTTTTACTAATCAGCCAATTTTTGAACTAAATCTGAAGTCACTAAGAGATGATGGTCAATCATGAATATTTGGAAAAAAATTTGTGATATAATTTATAGAAAAGAAATGTTCAGAGTGTATTGAATAATTTTAATAACATATAACTAATTAAGTACATATATTAACTAATTATAACTGTGACATTGAAAATATAAAATCGACTTTAAGCTGGTCAGCATCAAGAAGCTGGAAGATGTTCATGTGGCTTATTTGAAATCTTCCGCTGTGTATCTCCTCCTTCCCAAATGATTTCTCAGTAGGAAGCTATGTTTGAACTCAGAGAAGGAGCTGTTTCTTAAAAATTAAACTGTCTCTGCTGCTCCCAATAGACAAAGGTGCTTAGCTGGTTCCCACTGAAGTACACTAATTCACTGTCTTAATTTAAATTTACCAATATATGCGGGGCATAGTGGCCCATGCCTGTAATCCCAGCACTTTGGGAGGCTGAGGTGGGCGAATCACCTGAGGTCAGGAGTTTGAGACCAGCCTGGCCAACATGGTGAAACCTCGTCTCTACTAAAAATACAAAAAAATTAGCTGGGCATAGTGGCACGCGCCTGTATTCCCAGCTACTAGGGAGGCTGAGGCAGGAGAATCGCTTGAACCTGGGAATCGGAGGTTGCAGTGAGCTGAGATTGCACCATTGTACTCCAGCCTGGACAACAAGAGTGAAACTCTGTCTCAAAAATAAATAAATAAAAATAACTTTAACAACATAGTTCTTCAATTAGTCCATAACTAACTTTTACTATTAGTAGGGTTTTCACTTAAGGGTAAGTGGAATTGAACCCAGTAATTCTTAGGCTGGACCTTAGGTGGATCACCTGAGGTCAGGAGTTCAAGACCAGCCTGGCCAACATGGTGAAACGCCGTCTCTACTAAAAATAAAAAAAATTAGCCGAGTGTGGTGGCGGGCACCTGTAATCCCAGCTACTCGGGAGGCTGAGGCAGGAGAATCACTTGAGCCCGGGAGGTGGAAGTTGCAGTGAGCCGAGATTGTGCCATTGCACTCCAGCCTGGGCGACAGAGTGAGACTTGTCTCAAAAAAATAAAATAAAAACAAATTAGTTGGGCGTGGTGGTTCACGCTCCCAGCTACTGGGAAAGCTGAGGTGGGAAGTAATTCTTGCATCCTGTCTTCGTTTTCCTACCTGGAACTGAGTCCTGGCCTTTGCCTAAGTGAGATAATGGAAAGGAAAGGAAAGTTGGAGAATCTCAGGTCTGGACCTTAGCAGTGAATTCAGCACAATCGCAGAATGTTGAGGTAGAGGAAACTGTTGTAGAGATCAGTTGATCAGTTTTTAATCATTAAATAAAAACGTGAATGAGGCAGTGAAGTAACTTCCCCAAGGTCACACAATGGGTTGCTACAAGAAATGAGAATGAGCATTTGTCATTTCCCAGTGAGAACAGTTTCCATTGTGCCCGGACCTTCAAAGATTAACCTTCATACCAAAGTTTTTGCCTACTTGAAAATTGTATTTAAGTACATAGATCGTGTGAGTGAGTCTACTGCGGGAATGTTATATACATAATTAAAATTATCTCTATTTCACATTTATATATTTGTCCATTAAAACTTGCATAATTAAATAAATGTAAAATATAACTGAGATAATCAGACATCTGTTTTCTTTAATAAACATTAATCTTGAATAGATAATATGGTTAAATGATTTCAAAAAGATAATGTAGTTACATGATTTAAAGTTATAGCTACCGAATTGTGTGTGCAGAGAAATCTTACTCCTACCCTTGCCGCCCCTGCCACCCACTGCTGCCCTCTAGAGGTAAAGTTTTCGTGGTTTCTTTTTATCCTTCAGGCGTTTCTTCATGAGAATGTAACCAAATACAAATATATATTCTCGTTCCGTACTCCACTTTGCCTACACAAAAGGCAGCATACTGTGTACACTATCGTGTCTTTTTCTCCTGCTTTTACTTATTTATTATTATTTTAATAGAGATGAGACCTCACTATGCTGTTCAGGCTGGTCTCAAACTCCTGGGCTCAAGCGATTCTCCCACTTCAGTCTCCCAAAGTGCTAGGATTACAGGCGTGAGCGCTGCGCCCAGCCATATCCTGTTTTTTTAAAGTTTTCTGGCCAGGTGTGGTGGCCCCCGCCTGTAATCCCGACACTTTGGGAGGCCAAGCTTGGCAGATCGCTTGAGCTCAGGAGTTTAAGACCAGCCTGGGCAACATGACGAAACCCTGTCTCTACCAAAAATACAGAAAATTAGCCAGGCGTGGTGGTGTACACCTGCAGTCCTAGCCACCCGGGAGGCTGAGGTGAGAGGATCACTTGAGCCTGGGAGAAAGAGGCTGCAGTGAGCCAGGGCTGTGCCACTACACTCCAGCCTGGGTGACAGAGTGAGACTCCATCTCAAAAAACAACAAAAAAATTTTTTTTTGGCCTAGAGATAATCCCATATACTTGTATATGCTTAGAGATCTTTTTTTTTTCTTTTTTCTTTTTTTGAGACGGAGTCTCTCTGTCACCCAGGGTGGAGTGCAATGGCGCAATCTCGGCTCAGTGCAACCTCTGCCTCTTGGGTTCAAGCAGTTCTCCTGTCTCAGCTTGCCTAGTAGCTGGGACCACAGGAGCCCACCACCACGCCCGGCTAAATTTTTTATATTTTTAGTAGAGATGGGGTTTTACCATGTTGGCCAGGCTGGTCTCGAACTCCTGACTTCAAGTGATCTGCCCACCTCTGCCTCCCGAAGTGCTGGGATTATAGGCGTGGGCCACTGCGCCCGGCCACCGGCTAATTTTTTTATATTTTTAATAGATATGGGGTTTTACCATGTTGGCCAGGCTGGTCTCAAACTCCTGACTTCAGGTGATCTGCCCACCTCTGCCTCCCGAAGTGCTGGGATTACAGGCGGGGACCGCTGTGCCCGGCCACCGTTTTAGTTTTTACACTGAAATTATTCATGCTGCTTCTGTCTTATACTGTTGTGGGTTCTTGATTTATGGTGTTTCGGGCTTCATTTTCACACAACTTGGAATGTGCGGGTTTTCTCTGTTCCCTGGTTTCACTGAAGATGTCGTTTCTAATGAGAGATGTGTATACGTCTGTGTGCACGTGCATGTATGTGTATGCAGTTGGCATTCATTCCTGTTGCTCTGTATTGGTTTTTAGAGTGGGAAGATGTGGGGCTAGGCCATCATTATGCTCTTTCTAGAACTGGAACCTACTAGATATTAATTTTTATTTACACAAATTGTAATTTGATGCTTTAAATTGGAGAGGGAATCGGGTAAATTATTCGGCTAAATTATTAAATTGACACATCACTTTTTTTTGCAGTAGTAACGTTTTGTTAAAATGAGCGAATTTGTTATCACATTCTCAGCTTTCAGGAAGGTGAGCTGAGACAAAGCAATGCTTAGCATTTTTCTGAAACCTTTGGATGCAGTCAGGACAAGAGAGAGGTGATTGTGCCCAGCTTTATCACCTCTGGCCAGGTTTCTAGTGTTTGTGTGTGTGTGTGTGTGTTGTATTTAATTGAATGATTGCTTTGGACATTTTCTGTTTTGGGGGCAAAAGTGTTTATAGTGAAGATGGGCTGGGCTCAGTGGCTCATACCTTCAGTCCCAACACTTTGGGAGGCTGAGGCAGGAGGATCGCTGGAGACCAGGAATTCAAGATTGGCCTGGGCAACATAGTGAGACCCTGTCTCTACAGAAAACAAACAAAAAAATTATCCAGGCCTGATAGCACACTCCTCTAGTCCTGGCTACTCGGGAAGTCGAGGTGGGAGGATCACTTGAGCCCAGGAGGTCAAGGCTGCAGTGATCTGTAATCACACCAGTGCACTCCAGCCTGGGTGACAGATCAAGACCCTGTCTCAAAAAAAAAATTAAAAAGAAAAAGAAGATGGAGATGATGAAAGGATTGAAGGATACTTATTGCTTAGTCAGAAATACAGGGCTATGGGCCGGGTGCCATGGCTGACACCTGTAATCGCAGCACTTTGGGAGGTCGAGGCAGGAGGATCAGTTGCGCCCAGGAGTTAAAGATCAGCCTGGGTAGCTGTAGAGACAAAAGTAGTCTCTACAAAAAAAAATACAAAAAATAATCCAGGCGTGATCTCGTGTAACTAGTTCCACCTGCCGGGGAGGCCGAGTCGGGGGATTGCTTGAGGCCAGGAGGTCAAGGCCTGCAGTGAGCTATGATCATGCCGCTGTACTCCAACCTGGGCATTGGAGCAATACCCTGTCTCAAGGGGGAAAAAAAAAGAAAATAAACATAGGGCTATGGAAAAATATTCCTTTATTTCAGTACCCAGCTCCACTGGGCCTTTCCTTTCTCCAGTGTCTGTTAAAGCTCAGGGGGATAAGATTGCTGTTCAGGATTACTTACTCTCGAATTTCGTTGTAACCAGATCAGTGAGCCAGTGCGGAAATAGCTTTCTTATAGTGACTTCTACCTCACGGGGCATTTCACCGCAGTGCTTTCTCCTCTGTTGGGAAAGGACGCACACTCTGTGCTAGCGGGTGGAGAACTAAAGTTCATTTTGTATCCTCCCAGCACCTAATCCAGAACTTGTGCCATGTGAGGTGACCAGTACAATTAAGTCTAGCCCACAAATAGGCAGGAATTCCAAAATGTGCGTTGAAATTGTCTTGGCGGGGCACGGTGGCTCACTCCTGTAATGCCAGCACTTTGGGAAGCCGAGGCGGGTGGATCATTTGAGATCAGGAGTTCGAGACCAGCCTGGCATACATGGTGAAACCCTATCTCTATTAAAAATAGAAAAATTAGCCAGGCGTGATGGCGGGTACCTGTAATCCCAGCTACTTGGGAGACTGAGGTTGCAGTGAGTTGAGATCGCGCCACTGCCCTCCAGCTTGGGCAACACAGCGAGACCCCGTCTCAGGAAAAGAAAAAAGAAATTGTCTGATATTTATAGAATTTTCAAAGTGTGAGAAATAAAACTTCAGACATAATTCGTGCTTCATACTATATTGAATTAGATGATTTTAAAGTCTCCCGTATTTACCACTGTATTTTTGTCTGCGTATATAAGTTCCATGCACCTATACTATGGCTAACAATATTTTACTTTGACTAAAATTTGTTACACAATACTTAATTATTAGTGTTACTTATTATTGAAAGACATTAGTTGAAATTTCTTTCAGCCTGATTTCATCCATTTTCTGCCAAGAGGCAATTGTAAATTATTGGATTGACTCTTCTACATATTGTTTGTAGTTGTTAAGAAAGTACTTACTGGTAGAAGTTGAATTTTTTGTTGCCCTTATTCTCCATTGTCTGTTTAGCGAATTTTTCTCTGCGATGGCTCACTTAACCATTATAATGATAAAAATGATAGGTGTGAGTGCAAATAATTTGAGGTGCTAAGAGTCTGCTCTGAAATATCCTGTTTCGGCCGGGCATGGTGGCTTATGCCTGTAATCCCAGCACTTTGGGAGATTGAGGTGGGCGGGTCACCTGAGGTCAGGAGTTTGAGACCAGCCTGGCCAACATGGTGAAACCCTGTCTCTACTAAAAATCACAAAAATTAGCTGGGTGTGGTGGCCAGCGCCTGTAATCCTAGCTACTCGGGAGGCTGAGGCAGGAGAATCTCTTGAAATCGGGAGGCGGAGGTTGCAGTGAGCCGAGATGGCGCCGTTGCACTCCAGCCTGGGTAACAAGAGCGAGACTACGTCTCAAAAAAAAAAAAAAATCCTATTTTCCCCCTAGGTCAAAGCCAGTGATATGTAAAGCTAGCATAGAGCAAAAGAGTCTGAGAACCATGATGTTGACCTGTCTTATTAGAATGGTTTGATTTGCAGGTGACACAAAGCAGAAGATGTGTCAGAAGTTAAGTCTCTGCATTACTGCTTTGGGGTGTAATTTAATTTTTAGAAGGATTTTTACTTAGCTGTAGACTGATTTTTCTGGGGTCTCGTGGCCCCTTGCCATTCACAACATGCACTGCAACATGTTGCTATGTAGAATGCACCGGATTCTTGCCGTCCATTTGGCTCCGGGCTGTCTCTCGTCTCTTGTGCCAGATTTGCACATCTGGTCCAGAGCAGGAGTTAAGGATTGCTCTAGTAAGTGGATTAGTAGCTTTTCCTAATTACCAGATCTCACAACTAGAGTTGCGGCTGCCAGAATTGGTCGTTCACAGTTAACAATTACCTAGATGATGATGAAGTACATGGATCTAGTCATAAAAGCCTCGGTTCAAGCAGATGTCCTGCTTCCCAGCTGTGTGATTTGAGCCAGTTACGTGGTTCCTCTAACCCAGCGTTCTCACCTGTTAAAGGGTATGATAATAGTGTCTACATCCTAGGGCTGGCAGGCACTGTAGCAATGCACGTACCTGCACTCTCCTGAATGCAGTACCTGAAGCAGGGTGAGCACTCAAGAAAGGGTAGCTGTAATTCATACGTATTACAGGGCTTGATTGTTAAATATTCTGTGCTTCATGGACTCTCAGAATCCGGGGATCACAAGACTGTACTGTTACATTATGTACTGCTAAAAGGAAGTGATGGTAAGACATTAATTTACATGTTAAAATGTGAAAAAAATGTGGATCTTAGAATAGGTAAACTAAGGTAAGTCACATTTTTAAAAATTGTGGTAAAATACTACCTAACATGAAATTTACATTTGAGCAGTTTTAAGCATACAGTTCAGTGACATTAAGTCCATTAACGTTGGCGTAAGCCATCATCACCATCCATCTTCAGAACTTTTTCATCATCCCAAACCGAAACTCTTGAGCCTATTAAACACTACTCCATTCCCCACTCCCGCCATTCTCTGGTGACCCCTCTTCTACTTTCTGTCCCTGGGAATTTGTCTGTTAGGTACCTCTTAAGATTTAGCTACATTTTTATAGAAATTGAATCTATGTGATCAGCAAGATCAGATGACCACATCCTTTTCAACAAAGTTCTTAAGCAGATATGATCTCAGCAGGGGATTTTCTAGTTTAGTGGTTTTGGAGATGATAGAAGAGAGGGAGGAAGTCGGAGGGAGTGTAGCAGGGGCTTATGTATTTTTATGGTACTCTTCTGTTTTTGAATGTTTACATCTTTATTCTCTTGAATAATATAATTCATGAAGCAGGTAAAGATACAGCTTTTGTTCTATTTCTTTCCAGCCACTTAGCCCCAATACTATTTCCTGAGCAACTCATCTTTTTCTATTGATTTTAAAAAAGGTCCACTGCAGAATTTTAGACTGTTCCTTCACAAGATGCATTGTCAGAGATGAGCAGTTTTCCTTTGCTATTTTGTGTGACGCTTTGTAAATTCAGAGATAATGGAAAAGCCAAAATGTAAACACAAAAATTTCACTGTCAATAATCTGGCTCTTTTTCTATGTAAATAAGGTCTCTCAATTTTTCTCTCCATAGGAAGAACTAAACAGTTCTATTTAACCTTTTTAATTTTATGCTAAATTTATTTTACTCTAATGGCACAACCACCTCTCATTTAGTTGTGCCAGTTAAGAGTAATATTGGCAGAAGTAAATTAAATCAGTGTGTAATGTGCCCGTTTGAGTTAGGACCTTGGAAAACGCAGCAGGAATGCGAACTCAGCAGTTGGAGAAGGCAGAGACAGGGTGGCAGGTGGGAAGCCCTCCCAGCCGTGGGTACCATTTTTGTTCTCAGGGCACTCTAGGAAAGTTTTTTGAGTTGCCTTTGTGTGCTGCAAGTACCCTTGGTGAGCTGCCCACATGAGGTTGACTTCTGCCTTTTAGAGCCAATCACTAAGGCAAAGTCAAATTCCATAAATCTGTTATTTCACAAAATGAGGCATATTTTACAGTTTTAACATTCTTCAGCTCCATCAACATTTGTGTAAAGAGTGATGGCAAATACATGCTCTTATGGTGGCATTTCTTATTTTCTGCTTGAGACACGCTCATTTCCCCCCCTTTACTTTTAATCTTCCTGTTTCCTTGACACACCTGCTTCCGAACCCCATTGTCATCTCTCCCCGCTGTGACAGTTCACCAGCACTTCATGGTACTGGAGACTCTTTCAACTTGCCTTTTCCACCAACTGTCAGTTGCAAAATAAGGTTGCTTTGTTTGGGAGGGAGAGGGTGGAATCCTTTCTGAATGTCTCCTGTTCCTTTGAAGCAGGAGCACTTCAGAGACAACTGAACTGCTTTTAGGTTTTTCTTACCACCCAGCTTTTTCTTCTGATTGATCCTGCCGTGAACACACGGTTCTGTTGATGACATCGATTTGTTGCTATGGAAATAGTGGTAATGTCACAGATTCAACCCAGTGACTTTACTGCAGGTTGTTGCAGGAGAAATGGGCAAGGCTTTAGGGGAGAACCTCATTAACACTGAAGGCTATCAATTCTAAGCAGGTGAAAGGTAGATGGAGCCAACCTTTTGTGTAATGAAAACAAAAAGTGAACCCCTAGCAAATTCACCGAGTGCCATGGAATGCCTCAGCACGAATTCTAATCCATGGGAGTCTTTGACAAAATAAAAAATTTACACTTTCCCAGAGCATTCCTTCTACCCAAGTTTAAATCTCTTAACCCAAATCCTTTGCACTAAAACGGGGTTTCCCTTTTGATCTTCAGGACTCGGGCAGCCGCAAGTAGCTCCTCCAGCGCCAGCAGCCAGCCCAGCAGCAAGCAGCAGGCCCCAGCCGCAGAATGGAAGCTCGGGAATGGGTGAGATGCCTCACGGGGCGTGCGCTGACCAGGGGTGTCAGACTTCGGAATCATGTTTTGAAGTTGAATCTGGGACTAAAGGGAGTTTTCCAAATGCCATTCATTACAGGGTTGTGTCTTGGAAAGAATAATTCTGATTCATATTTTAGAGTATGTGATTGAAAAAATAATTAAAGATTGTCTTTTTTTTTTTTTTTTTTTTTGGAAGTAGGGTCTTGCTCTGTCAGCGGGGCTGGAGTGCAGTGGAAGCATCACAGCTCGTTGCAGCCTTAACCTCCCAAGTAGCTGGTACTATGGGCGCATGCCACCATGCCTGGCTAATTTTTTTGTAGAAATGGTGTCTTACTATGTTGCCCTGGCTGGTCTCAAACTGCCCTGGCCTCAAGCAGTCCTCCGTCCTTGGCCTCCCAAAGTGCTGGGATTATAAGTGTGAGCCAGGGTGTCCAGCCAAAGATAATCTTAAAGATACTTAACAGCCAGACTTTTAAAAAAGATCAAATTGATACATTCTTCTCTGTTAGTAGTTGACCAAGTAGTTTCTTCGTTTCCCACATCATCAGGTTTTACACCCTCTGACTTTGCATTCCTTTTAAGTTCTTGCCTTTTAACTATCCAGGACCCACTTACTAAGTTTGGCTCATCTCTCTCCGAGTTTCCTATTTTGGGCCTCGTGGGTGTTTATCGTTTGCTTGAAGACAGTATTACTTATATTGGTCATAGGTTCTCCTTCTCAATTTCATGGATGAGAAATGGTTTCTTCATTTACTTTTCTCTGCAGCAGGTCCTAAGAGGCATTAATGGAATCATTTTGTTTACTTTCTGGCCTTTACTTTAGGAACCTCTTGATCTGGGAAGTCACCGTTGAAAATTTGGATTTGTAGAATGTGGTTGGATTTATTTTTAGAGGTCCTTTTTTCTGTCACGGCTTCACATACACCTCCTCTCCTCCCCTCAACTATTAGTTTCTATTTTTCAGTGCTAAGATTCTGAGAAAAGCAAGGTTAAGATGTCACTGATGTTTCTGTGAAACTCTCAGGACTTTCCCCCTTGCCCTTTGTTGTTTTTAATCTACCTTGCACGATCCGTCTACCTCTCTCGCTCTTGCACGTTCTCTCTCTTGCTCTGTCTCTCCTTTTATAAGAGGATCTATTTATACACAACTCAAAAATTACATGCTGTTGGCCAGGCTTGGTGGCTCACGCTTATAATCCCAGCACTCTGGGAGGCCGAGGTGGACGGATCACTTGAGGTCAGGAGTTCGAGACTAGCTAGCCTGGCCAACATGGTGAAAACCCATCTCTACTAAAAGTACAAAAATTAATCGGGCATGGTGGTGTGCACCTGTAGTCCCAGCTACTCGAGAGGCTGAGGCATGAGAATCATTTGAACCCAGGAGGCGTAGGTTGCAGTGAGCCAAGTTTGCGCCAGTGCCCTCTAGCCTGGACAACAAAGTGAGACTCTGTCTCAAAAAAAAAAAAAAAAAAAAATATATATATATATATATATACACACACACACACACACACACACACACACACTTTTGAAGAGAGTGGTGAAATAGACTCTCTAAAGTGGTAAATAATCATTTCCTTAGGCTTATATACAAATAGTACGTTATTCCTCTCCCTCCCTCCACAGAATTATTTTTCTGGTTGTCTATCTTTGCCTTATGTTAAAATATATTTTTAAAAATCTGGGCTGGGCACAGTGGCTCACACCTGTAATCCCAGCACTTTGGGAGGCCAGGGCAGGAGGATTGCTTGAGCCCAGCAGTTTGACACCAGCCAAACATAGTGAGACCCGATCCCTCTAAAAAAATCTTTTTAAGAATCAGCTGGGCGTGGTGGTGCACACCTATAGTCCCAGCTACTCAAGAAGCTGAAGTGGGAGGATCGTTTGAGCTCAGGAGTTTGAGGCTGCAGCGAGCTAAGATCGTGCCACCTGCACTCCAGCCTGGGGGACAGAGCAAGACCTTGTCTCAAAAAAATGAAAATCAGTTAATGTTCCCTAAACTATGTAGTGAAAGGAAATGAACTGGATGTGTACTGAGGAGAAGCTACCCAGCATGAAATAGATTGGATGAATGGATGCTTGTGTGTGTTTTATAAAATTATATATTATGTATGGGTATACACATGTATTCTACAAAGTACCTGTGTGTCCTTACACGATCTTGAGGTAATTACTATTGTGTGTGTATTGATCTCTCTCGACTCCCCAGTTAGAAAATTTCAACACAGAAACACTCCTATGTATATTTTTTACTAATTACTACGAATGCCTAGAAGGGTGTGGCACATGCCGTGGAAACCCAGTAAATAAATACTGGATAGATGGTGTATTGATATTTTTAGCCAAATTCTATTCTGAAGAAATGTTTTGATGTAGAGGGTATGAAATCACTGAACTAAATTATATTTTCTGAATTTGGACGTTGAGTTTTGCAGATACGTGGTGCGTATAAAAGAACTCACCTGATTCCCTGTTCTTTCCCAGCGCAGGGCAGCTGCTTAGGTTTGGATTAAGGAGGCGGAAGGGTCTTAGTGGTCACCCACTTAACATATCTTGACCAAAAACTGATTCCTGCCCTTTGCACCCGACGAAACTCATTCTTACAGACTTCATTCTAGACTTGCTAGTCCTTCAGACGCATTGAGATCTGGGAGTTGTCTGGGGATTTGGAGGCGATCTATTTGTGATAGGTCCCTTACATCCTGTCTTTCTTCATGTGACTAGTGCCTTGCCATCAGTTTTACCAGTTACAAAAGTTGATTTTCTTTTTCTCACCCATTATCTTGCCCGTTGAGGCAAGAGAAGTGTTTAAGAGGGCGGCCTTCAGAAACAGCAGTGTCTGGATTCGTCACCATTATTACTTTGACCTCGGGGCTGACATCAGCAAACATAGCAGTGAGCTGCTGTGTGCGCAGCCTTCATCCTAGATTGCTTTTGTAGCCTCCAGCCTCAGTCTCTATTTGATCTGCGTATCTCTTGCATATAAAAAGGAAAAGCTTTGCCTCTCATGTTATATGATTTCACTAGTGGCACCTCCAAAATTTAGAGTTATTGTAAAGCTTACTATAAAAAAGCTAAGTAGAATAGTAATAACTCCTTTTCGTTTGCGTTTGTTTTTAAAGGTTCTACTGTTTCTAAGGCTTATGGTGCTTCAAAGACATTTGGAAAAGCTGCAGGTCCCAGCCTGTCACACACTTCTGGGGGAACACAGTCCAAAGTGGTGCCCATTGCCAGCCTCACTCCTTACCAGTCCAAGTGAGTTGTTGCATAGAGTAAGTTCAGAGTGTACTTATGAAATCGGAGAAGCTATTATGGACTCTTGAGTTATTTATGCGTGAACTTCAGGGTCACCACCAAATACCACCAAATAGAATGGGTTTACTCTTTTTTTTTTTTTTTTTTGCTGAGGAGGAAAGGGGTACAAATTGTGGCAAACTTTTAACTCTTGTTGGAAAATATAGTAACAATAGCAATCTGCCATAGCCTGTGGGGTTTCATTCATTTTGAAAGAATTTGAAATTAAAAATACTTAATGCTTAATCAGTTGATAGTCTTATGAGTAAAAATAAATATTTCTGATAATTCAAAAGGCATTTAATCTTCTCCTATAAACAGGTGACTTCGTCTTTGGTTTAGTTGGCTAAAATAATCTGCACTATTTGTATTAAACACATGAACATACCCTGAACATAAATTTCTTTTATATGACTTTTTTCCACCAAAAATTAATTTGAAGCCGGGCGCGGTGGCTCATGCCCGTAATCCCCGCACTTTAGGAGGCTGAGGCGGGTGGATCACCTGAGGTCGGGAGTTTGAGACCAGCCTGGCCAACATGGTGAAACCGTGTCTCTACTAAAAATACAAAAATTAGCCAGGTGTTGTGGAGCACGCCTGTAATCCCCGCTACTCAGGAGGCTGAGGCAGAAGAATCGCTTGAACCCAGGAGGCGGAGGTTGCAGTGAGCCAAGATTGTGCCACTGCCTTCCAGCCTGAGTAACAGAGTGAGATTCCGTCTCTCAAGATAAATAAACAAAATAAAGTAATTTGAATAGTTAAAAATTAGAGTTCTTTTTTCAGAATCCTTCCAGATATGTTTATATTTATTCTTCAATACTCTGTAACGTAGGAAAGATATTTTTCCCTGTGAAATTATAAGTGGGGTACCTAATGTGCCCTGTGCCTCCTTTTTCCATGCTTCTCTCTAAGGTCATGCTGCTTCAGTGTGTTCTTCCTGATGGTCCACCAACATCGTGTATTCTATTCAGGGTGTGTTACGAATGAGACAGAAGTGTAACACCAGTTATATCAGTTCCCATAATTGAAAACTGTGGCAAAATATAATTGCTGGTGTTACTGTATTTTCCAGCTTAGAACCTTTCATTAAGGGGATATGGTTGCCTTGGTGATGCTTTTTGGAGAAGGGAGAGAGTTTATAAATTTACTTATTTGACAGGAGAATGAGTTAGTATTAAATCACTTTGCATGTTTTACTATTTGCTTATTCTGTAAACTGTCAAACCCATGTGTCATCTTGGGGTTTTAATTAGCTGGATTAAAATACAGGTTGGAAAACGGAATATGCGTAAGACGAGAAAGGCTGTAGGAAGATGATTTCTTACTTGATCTTTTCCAAGGAAGACCCCATACACTAATATGATCGATTTGGTTTGTAGGTGGACCATTTGTGCTCGTGTTACCAACAAAAGTCAGATCCGTACCTGGAGCAACTCCCGAGGGGAAGGGAAGCTTTTCTCCCTAGAACTGGTTGACGAAAGTGTGAGTGTTTGTCATGCTGGGGAGTGAGGGCAGTGGGCTCGCCGGGAAACAGAAGGCTCAGCTCTGCGGAGGGCAGTGGGCTCGCTGGGAAACAGAAGGCTCAGCTCTGCGGAGGGCAGTGGGCTCGCCGAGAAACAGAAGGCTCAGCTCTGCGGGCCTATGAGGTGAAGAATAATAGTAGGCCAGAGAGAAGCATGATTGTTATTGTGCTTTTCCCTCTGTCATAGTCTTTTGATGCTGTCTGGAGTAGAGGGTTAAGGTCATAAATAAAATCTTTGATCTTAAATGACAGCGTTTGTAGCAGTAGAAAGTAGTTTTCTAAATATATAAGTAGCCTCCTGGGCAGGAGAAGCTGGAAACAGTCTGATTTGCTGGCAGGTGTACTGGAAGCACTGGGAGGTGATGCCTGCTTGTGAGCGCCGTGGAGCTTTGGGACACAGCAGAAGGCACACAGTTGTGACCTCGATATGGGAGTGGTTTTGTGGGAAATGGGTTCTGACTGTGCAGATTCTCTATTTGCTTTATTTAAACTAAACAAAACCATGACGATGAGACAAAATTCCTATGCCATGGAAGTACGACAGTCTTGATAGCTGTTAATCAGTCCATTCGTTTTGCTAATAATTCCTGAAATTGCCGGGTGTGGTGGCTCACGCCTGTAATCCCAACACTTTGGGAGGCCAGGGTGCACAGATCACTTGAGGTCAGGAGTTCGAGACCAGCCTGGCCAACATAGTGAAACCCCGTTTATACTAAAAATACAAAAATTAGCTGGGTATGGTGGCAGGTGCCTGTAGTCCCAGCTACTTGGGAGGCTGAGGCAGGAGAATCAATCGCCTGAACCAAGGAGGTGGAGGTTGGAGCCAGCCAAGATTGCACCACTGCACTCCAGCCTGGGCGACAGAGTGAGACTCCATCTCAAAAATAATAATAATTCCTAAAATGTACTTCAGCATTCTTTTCAAAGTGCTGCAGATTTCCTGTTTGTTCAGACTCCCAAATAGGGAGAAAAAAATAGATGTTTTTTTTGGAAGTTGATATAACACCCAAAATGTTTGTGTGATGGCAGAATCAATATTAGAACCTAATTTTTTTTTAGAAATTATTGCTCTAATGTATGGTGGTTGGCTAAAATTTCTTGTCCACTTGTAAATTTTGGCTGACAGAAAAGCAAAAGTGAAAATCAGATCACAAGCAACTTGCAAACATGACTTACTCTGACATTTTTGGCAATGGCTCCGAATGTGAAGTGGTTTGTCACTGAGAGGGCACTGTGGAGGGAGCCGGTGAATCACCCCGTGGCAGCACCTTCCTCGTGGGCTCTGGGCGTGTCCCTCAGTATTCAACTTTTTTTGTTTTTATTGTCAGAATAAATTAAACTCGTCATTGCCGTTTTGTTCTGTTCTGTTTCTCAGTTGAGGCTAATGCAGCATGATTATGGGATCGGCTAGCTGAAATTCTCATTCTTCAGCGGGGCCAGTGACTTCAGTGTGTGACTGTAAAATGCGGGTTCCTGGGATGTCCGTAGCCCTCTCTGGACCCTGTTTGTGCAAGGGCCACTGCTCTCAAGATGTCACTTTGGTGCTAGGGTGGCCTGTGTTCTATCCCAGTGTCACTTGGGTGCTGGGGTGGCCTGTGTTCAATCCCGCAGCCCTAACCTGCCCACGTGCTTCTGCAGGGTGAAATCCGAGCTACAGCTTTCAATGAGCAAGTGGACAAGTTCTTTCCTCTTATTGAAGTGAACAAGGTATGGCCGTGCTGACTTTAGAACTGACACCGCCTGGGGGTGGAGTGCGGATGAAAAGACGCTGGCCCAGGGGAGGGGTGTGTGGTGGCAGACTAGGGGTTTCTGTCCGATTTGATGGTAGTCTCAGGTTCTGTGGCTTGGCCTCCTTCGCAGGTGTATTATTTCTCGAAAGGCACCCTGAAGATTGCTAACAAGCAGTTCACAGCTGTTAAAAATGACTACGAGATGACCTTCAATAACGAGACTTCCGTCATGCCCTGTGAGGACGACCATCATTTACCTACGGTTCAGTTTGATTTCACGGGGATTGATGACCTCGAGAACAAGTCGAAAGACTCACTTGTAGGTAAGCTCGTGTATGAGAAGGAAGAGCAGGGATGACTAGCTTTCTTTGCAGTGTACGGGGTGGTGTCAGGCTTCAGTGCTTGCCGTTCATCATTTGCTGGCGTCGGAATGGGAGTCTTGACCACCTCCTGCTAACACGTGCATGTGTTTTAGACATCATCGGGATCTGCAAGAGCTATGAAGACGCCACTAAAATCACAGTGAGGTCTAACAACAGAGAAGTTGCCAAGAGGAATATCTACTTGATGGACACATCCGGGAAGGTGGTGACTGCTACACTGTGGGGGGAAGATGTAAGTGCTGGGATGGGGTCTTCAACACGCACAGGACCTCCTGGGGTTGGGGCGTGGTCTTGTCCTATAGGATGGGGCCTTCAGCACACACAGGAGGAGCTCCTGGAGTTGGGGGAGGGAGTGGTCTTATCCTATAGGATGGGGCCTTCAGCACACACAGGAGGAGCTCCAGGAGTTGGCGGAGGGGGCATCTTGTCCTATAGGATGGGGCCTTCAGCACACACAGGAGGAGCTCCTGGAGTTGAGGGAGGGAGGGGTCTTGTCCTATAGGATGGGGCCTTCAGCACACACAGGAGGAGCTCCTGGAGCTGGCGGAGGGGGCGTCTGTTCCTATAGGATGGGGCCTTCAGCACACACAGGAGGAGCTCCTGGGGTTGGGGGAGGGAGGGGTCTTGTCCTATAGGATGGGGCCTTCAGCACACACAGGAGGAGCTCCTGGGGTTGGCGGAGGGGGCGTCTTGTCCTATAGGATGGGGCTGTTAGCACACACAGGAGGAGCTCCTCGTGGGGGCGGTTTTGTCCTATGAGTTGGGGGCTTTCACCATGTAGATGGGAAGGATTGTGCTGTCTGGTAAGTATTTAAAATCCTTTATCTTACTTCTGTGAGATTTGCTGTGATTCAAGCTTTACGCGGGGAAATGCTCTTTCCCCTAACTCTAGGAAAGCAGTGATAGTTTTGATGTGTCTCTGAGTAGATTCTCATGTGTGAGGTCTGTCTTGTATGGATTCCATGTACGCTGATTACATTCACTCTACTATTGAATGTTTGCCTTGTTTTCTATAAAAATCTTCTGTGTTCTTCCTGCTAGTGACACTTGTATATGTCTGGTGTTTCTTTTACAGGCTGATAAATTTGATGGTTCTAGACAGCCCGTGTTGGCTATCAAAGGAGCCCGAGTCTCTGATTTCGGTGGACGGAGCCTCTCCGTGCTGTCTTCAAGCACTATCATTGCGAATCCTGACATCCCAGAGGCCTATAAGCTTCGTGGATGGTAGGTTTTGTGGGGCTAAACAAAGGGTTACTTGAGGCTGGGCTTTGAGAAAAGCTGGTTACAATCAGCATGGGAGCTTTCTGCCAAGCAGAAGCCTTCGTCCCTGAGTGGTGCAGCTTCCGTGTTTCTTGAAGGCATTATGCCTTCTGTGAGGAGGGCTTTAAAGCCCTTAAACGGACAAACCTGTAATCCCAGGACAAACCTAGAGAGTCGGAGGAGGCAATTAGCATGTAAGTGCTGCCTGCTGACCTCGATCCTGCCAAAGGAGGGGACGGCCAGGCTTCAGCAGCGGTGTGCTGAAGGCGCCTTTCTTTCCAGGGTTTAGGCTCTGGGCCTCTGTGGCGTGGGGGAACACATGCTTTCTTTCTCTGTCAAGTCTTTGGTGCCGATCACATCTTCTAGTGTGTATTCACTAGACTCTGATCAAGTGTGGTGAGAACAATGGGCTTTTTGTTAGGATTAGATTGTTATTCCCAAAGCACTCAAGGGATGAGGAGAGCCTGTTAAAATCTCCTCACTGTATCTAGCTTTTTAGGACATTCAAACTCTGTCTTAAAAGAGTACTTCAAACTGAGACACAGGATGCAAGAATTGATGTGGTCAGGGAAAACACTTTCACCCAAGCTTCAATAATTCCCATAGCTGTAGTCTATGGGGGGGAAGTGTGTCAGTTTCCAGCTGTGTCTTAGGATTTAAGCAGCTAAAGAATGAGCTCATTTTACATACTCCTCCTTTGTTTTGAGTCATTTAAACCAATGGCACTGGTGTTTGACCAGTTTCATGAAGCATCTTCTGGAATGTTCATGTCACTGAGCCATCCTCATGAGTAGTACGGTCCACACGTATCTGCCGAACTGCAGGGCCCGTTCATAGTCTGACCAGAACTAGCCACAGATTTGCTTTTTTCTTATTGCTTGATTTTCTTTTAGGCTCTGGAGTTCGACTCCAGGTTAATTGCATTCCCACATTAAAATCGCATTCCCACATTAAAATTGCATTCCCACATTAATGTCTTCATCTTTTACTTGTCAATAATCATGATCCCAGTCAACATAAAAAGCACGGCTGTCCCCAGAATAAAATAACTTGGCATTGATCAAAGACAAGCTCAGTGCATACATGATACCTGGACAAGGATTAGAGATGTTTAGATCTTGGCTATAACAATGCAGAGTTTTTATTGTAAGAAGGGCCGCCTTGACTCCTGACGAGTGATCTTTGGTGGCAAATGTCTCCTTGGAGCTTTTGAAACCGTGAACTTGTGTAGCTAGTAGTGGTGAAACAGATGGATGGGCCTTGCTGTGCCCCTGTGAGGGATTTAGCCGCTTACCTGACAGGAGAAGGCAGCTGTCTGCAGCTCAGGGTAACATCCATTCTGTTAGATGGTCTCTGTTTAAGGAACCTGTTCTTTGTGTGGTTACCCACCTTGGGATGGTATTTGGCCTTTCATCTCCGGCCAGCTCCTCTCCGCCACCACTGTGTTCCCGAGCCACTTTCTCCTTGGCCCCTTTTCCTTCATATCAATTGATGTGTGATCAAGAAGTACAATCAGTTTTCATAATAATTTAATACAAATTAATTTAGCTTCGATATTAGCAAAAGTAAAATTTCACTAAGAAGGTAAATCTACAAGAAAAAAGATAATGCCTTCTGATAAGTTGCTCTGGTTTATAAAATCTTTTGGGCCAGGCACGGTGGCTCATACCTTAATTCCAGCACTTTGGGAGGCCGAGGTGGACAATTGCTTGAGGCCAGGAGTTCAAGACCAGCCTGGCCAACATGGTGAAACCTCGTCTCTACAAAAAATACAAAAATCAGCCGGGCCTGTAGTCCCAGCTACTCGGTGCGTGCCTGTAGTCCCAGCTACTCGGGAGGCTGAGGCACGAGAATCACTTGCCAGGAGGTGGAGGTTGCAGCGAGCCAAGTTGGTACCACCACACTCCATCCTGGGTGACAAAGCAAGACTCTGTCTCAAAACAAAAAAACCACTTTTGGCTTCTGTATCAGGCATAGGAGGCCTTTTATGGAAACACTTTTGCTACCACGGTATATTGGCTGTCCGTTTCCACACTGGTACATTTCGGTGATGATCACCACGCAGCTGCTGCCTGAGAATGAGCATTAGCAGATTAAAGGACTACCCCAGACGGCCACTTTATAGCTTACGGGTTGTTGACTTTCCCAGTTTCTGATTTTAGGCCTGGGGTGGTCTGGCCACTGCCAATATGCAAGGCTAGTTTAAGAAAAGATTCTTTGGTACTTTGGCACTGATTCTCTTCACCACTGGGGGGCATCAAAGCAACTGAGATTCAAAGAAAGGTCATTCCGTTTCTTCAGTAGACTTTGGGCCAGGAGCAGTGCCTCACGCCCTGTAATCCCAGCACTTTGGGAGGCCGAGGGAGGAGGATTGTCTGAGTCCAGGAGTTTGAGATCAGCCTGGCCAACAGAGCAAGACCCCATCTCTTAAAAAAATTTTTTTTTCGAGACGGAGTTTCGGTCTTGTTGCCCAGGCTGGAGTGCAATGGCGCCATCTCGGCTCACTGCAACCTCCGCCTCCTGAGAATTGCCTACAAGTGATTCTCCTGCCTCAGCCTCCCGAGTAGCTGGGATTACAGGCACCCACCACCACGCCCGGCTAATTTTGTATTTTTAGTAGAGACGGGGTTTCACCATGTTGGCCAGGATAGTCTTGATCTCTTGACCTCGTGATCCGCCCGCCTCATCCTCCCAAAATGCTGGGGTTACAGGCATGAGCCACTGCGCCCAGCCTAAAAAAAATTTTTTTAATGGGCCTGGGCATGGAAGTCCCAGTTACTTAGCAGGGCAAAGGTGGGAGGATCACTGAGCTCAGGGGGTCAAAGCTGCCTTGAGCCATGATTGCATCATTGCACTCCAGCCTGGGTGACAGAGTGAAACTCTGACACAATTTTTTTTAATTTAAATATTATAAAAAATATATAATTACGAAGATACCAGCTTCAGCCGACATGACCGTGACCTGTGTGAAAGCTGGGCGGGTGGTGGGAAACCTGTGTCTGTCGCGTAGCAGCAAGTTGCATGTGGAGAAGCAGAAGCATGTCACATCAAGCGCTCGTCATCGTTATTCGTTCACGTTTTCAGGTTTGACGCAGAAGGACAAGCCTTAGATGGTGTTTCCATCTCTGATCTAAAGAGCGGCGGAGTCGGAGGGAGTAACACCAACTGGAAAACCTTGTATGAGGTCAAATCCGAGAACCTGGGCCAAGGCGACAAGGTACCCAGCATTCCTAACCACCTTCACAAAGGGCTGTAAAGTGTGCAGAAGGATGGATTTAGAAACTTGGTTTCCAGCACCAGCTGTCAGAGCCGTAATTCTTACCCGGGGCTGTGACCTGAGCGTGGCATGGGGGTTGAGAATCACTGGCAGAGGGAAGCAGCCAGGTGTGCTCATGGGAATATGTGTTACCCCTCAGGGGACTGGAGGCAGGAGAGTCTGAAGAACTCTTAGAGTCAATTCCTAGAGGGATCTTGGAGCAGGGGTGACAGTCAAGCTTTGTGGTATAATATCACCTGCTTTCGGGTCCACGTTTCTTTCCTGTGATCCTTCCTGCAAATTTAAGCGCCCACATATCAAAAAGATGTTTTTTGAGATGAGCGTTAGTCCGCCTCAGGTCAGACATGAGGCAGTTTCACGGGTGCTGTTCCTGGCTGTAGAATAGTGTATTAACCTCATAGGCTGAGAGCTGCCGGCATTCCCGGACAAGGATTGGCCCTGACATTTGACTTTTAGTTGCAGCTTTTTCCTTTCAGTGTTTGTATTTAATGACCCTCCTCCCATCTTGATCTAAGCCTGTGTTCTGCCAGCAGTTTAGTATTTAGATCATTTATTTCTCCTTTACGCCTGCTCTTTTATTTTCATCATATACAGTGTAGGTTTCATTCCTCCTGTCTCATTTCACTGTATACCCTTATCCATCATTGTCAACAGCAGCTCTTAAGTGCTCTTATAGAACATCTCAAGAATTAAACACTGGACAGATCCTCGTTGTCCTGTCATGGGACACCCACTCTTTCGGTTCTCTGTAATCCCAGCTACCCAGGAGGCTGAGGCAGGTGGATTACATGAGCCCAGGAGTTCGACTGAGCAACATGGAAGACCCCTTCTCTTGAAACAAAAACTTTATTGCTGAAAAATGCTGACAATCATCTGAGTCGTAATCTTCTTGCTGGTGGGGGTTTGTTTCAGGGTTGATGGCTGAGCAGTCACGGCGATGGTTGCTGAACATCGGCGTGTCTTTGGCAGTTTCTTAAAATAAGACAGCAGTGAAGTGTGCCACATTGGTTGACTCTTCCTTTCACAAAAGCTTTCTCCATAGCCGGCGATGCTGTTTGACAGCATTTTACCCACAGGAGAACTTTTTCAAACTGGAGTCTCTCCCTCTCAGGTCCTGTCACTGCTTTATCAGCCAAGCTTATGCAAATTCTAAATCCTTTGTCGTCATTTCAACAATGCTCACAGCGTTCTCACCACAAGAGATTTCATCTCAAGAAAGCACTTTCCTTGCCCATCGTAAGGAGCAGCTCCTTATCCGTTCAAGTTTGATCGTGAGATTACAGCAGTTCAGGCCCATTTTCAGGCTCCATTTGTAATTCTAGTTCTCTCGTTATTTTCGTCACATCTACAGATCCCTCCTCCACCAAAGTCTTGAAGCCTCAGTGTCTACCTTGAGGGTTGGAATCAACTTGTTCCAAACTCCCGTTGATGTTGGGATTTTGATCTCCTCCCATGAATCATGAATGTTCCTTTTTTTTTTAACTTGAGACAGGGTCTCATTCTGTCACTCAGGCTGGAGTGCACTGGCTTGATCACAGCTCACTGCAGTCTCAACCTCCCCAGGCTCCCAAGCTGGGACTACAGGTGCTGCCACACCTGGCTAATTGTATTTTTTGTAGAGACTGAGTTGTGTCATGTTGCCCAGGCTGCTCTCAAACTCCTGGGCTCAAGGGATCTCCCTGCCTCAACCTCTCAAAGTGCCAGGAGTTACAGGTGTGAGCGACTGTGCCCAGCCAACTGTTCTTAATAGCATCTAGAATGGTGAATCCTTTTCAGGTTTTCAATTTACTTTCCCCAGATCCATCAGAGGAATCACTGTGGCAACTATCGCCTCATGAAATATGTCTCTTAGACTTAAAAAGTCAAAATTACTCCTTGATTTGCATGGGCTGCAGAATAGATGTTGTTATCAAGCATGAAAACAATATTAATCTCCTTGTTCTGTGCATCTCCATTGAGCCCTCGGGTGAACAGGTGCATTGTCAATATATTAATCTCCTTGTACTGTGTGTCTCCATTGAGCCCTTGGGTGAACAGGTGCATTGTCAATATATTAATCTCCTTGTACTGTGTGTCTCCATTGAGCTCTTGTGTGAACAGGTGCATTGTCAATATATTAATCTCCTCGTACTGTGTGTCTCCATTGAGCTCTCGGGTGAACAGGTGCATTGTCAATGAGCAGTCATATTTTTAAAGGAGTCTCTTTTTCTGAGTAGTAGGTCTCAACAGTGGGCTTAAAATATTCAATAAACTACACTATAAATAGATATGCTGTCATCCAAGCTTTGATATTCTATTTATAAAGCAGAGGCAAAGTAGATTTAGCATAGTTCTTATGAGCCCTAAGATTTTTGACATGGTCAATGAGCACTGGCTTCACCTTATAGTCCCCAGCTGCATTCGCGCCTAACAGGAGAGTCAGCCTTTCCTTTGAAGCTTTGAAGCCAGGCATTGATTTCTACTCTCTAGGACGAATGTTCTTGATGGCATCTTCTTCCAGAAGGCTATTCTGTCTACGTTGAAAATCTGTTGTTGAGTGCAGCCACCTTCATTGGTGGTCCTAGCTAGATCTTCTGGATAACTTGCTGCAGCTTCTCCATCAGCACTTGCTGCTTCACCTTGCACTTTTGTTATGGTGACGGCTTATTTCCTTAAACCTCATGAACCAACATCTGCTGGCTGCCATCTTTTCTTCTGCAGCTTTTTTTTTTTTTTTTTTTGAGACAGAGTCTCACTCTGTCACCCAGGCTGGAGTGCAGTGGTGCAATCACAGCTCACCTCAGCCTCTGGAGTAGCTGGGACTACAGGTGCACACCACCGTGCCCTGACAGATTTTTGTAGAGACTAGGTCTCACTATGTTGCCTGGCTGGTATCGAACTCCTTGGCTTAGGCAATCATGTTGCCTCTGCCTCCCAAAGTGCTGGGATTACAGGTGTGAGCCACTGCACCTGGCCTCTTCTGCAGCTTCCTGACCTCTCTCAGCCTTCACAGAATTGAAGAAAGGTGAGGCCTTGCTCTGGGTTAGGCTTTGGCTTAAGAGAATGTTGTGGCTTGCTTGATATTCTATCTAGACCACTACAGCTTACTCCATATCAGCAGTAAGGCTGTTTGCTTTCTTATTTGTGTATTCAAAGAAGAGAGACAGGAATACTTGATTGGAGGATCAGTCAGCATACATACAACATTCATCAATATAAGTTCCCCATCTTATATGGGTGTAGTTGGTGGCACCCCAGAACAACTACAATAGTGACGTTAAAGATCACTGTAGGCCAGGCGCGGTGGCTCATTCCTGTAATCCCAGCACTTTGGGAGGCTGAGGCAGGCGGATCACCTGAAGTCAGGAGATCGAGACCATCCTGACCAACGTGGTTAAAACCCCGTCTCTACTAAAAATACAAAAATTAGCTGGGCGTAGTGGTGCATGCCTGTAGTCCCAGCTTCTCGGGAGGCTGAGGCAGGAGAATCGTTTGACCCTGGGAGGCGGAGATTTCAGTGAGCTGAGATCATGCCACTGCACTCCAGCCTGGTGACAGAGCGAGACTCCGTCTCAGAAAAAAAAAAAAAATCACCATAACAGATATGATAATAATGAAAAAGGGCCAGGCATGGTGGCTTACTCCTATAATCCTAGCACTTCGGGAGGCCAAGGTGGGTGGATCACTTGAGGTTTGGAGTTCGAGACCAGCCTACCCAACATGGCAAAACCCCATCTCTACTAAAAAATACAAAAATTAGCCAGGCGTGGTAGTGCACGCCTGTAGTCCCAGCTACTTGGGTGGCTGAGGCAGGAGAATCACTTGAACCTGGGAGGTGGAGGCTGCAGTGATCAGAGATTACACCACTCACTGCACCCCAGCCTGGGCGACAGAGCGAGACTCTGTCTCAAAAAATACATATATAATGAAAAAGTTTGAAATCTTGCAAGAATTACTGTCTTTATGTGACACAGAGACATAAAGTGAGCACCTGCTATTGGGAAAATAGTGCATTTACTTGACCCAGGGGTGCCACAAGTCTTCAATCTGTAAAAAATGCCGTATCTGTCAAGTGCAGTAAAGCAAAGCACAATAAAGTGAGGTGTGTCTGTAGTTGCAGCAGAGACTGTGACCAAATGGCTGCTAAGGCCTGAAATATTTACTGTTTGGCTTTTTACAGAAGCAGCTTGCTGATCCCTGGCCTAAACAAGGAAAAGGTGAATCTAGGCCTAGACACGACTGCCGTGTTTTGAGCGCGGGAGGGATGGTTGATCGTTGCTGCACTGGGTGTTTGTGGTCCGCATTCTGTATTTCCTAGATCTGTGGCCTTTGGAGGGTCAGAGGATCGGGAGGAACAAATCTTTGTCTTTCATACAGTGTTCAAGCAAACAGGAAAACAATTTCACTTTTAATTAACTTAGTGTAATTTAGGATTAACTCTTTTATTGTGAAGGAATTATCTGCCTCAGAACTTGGCTTATTAGAACTTGGCTTATTACCTTCATGGGTTTTGTACTCGGCACATGTGATTTCTAAAACTACAGAATGAATGATTCCCTGTGATCATGTGTAATCTTGAGGATGTAGAAACACTTACCACCTAAACGTAAGGGCAGGCTTTGAGCTGCCTCTCGGTCCGATCCTGGGCGGGCTCGCGACTCCGTGCCTCATGCTGTTCTTTTCTCCCGAAGCCGGACTACTTTAGTTCTGTGGCCACAGTGGTGTATCTTCGCAAAGAGAACTGCATGTACCAAGCCTGCCCGACTCAGGACTGCAATAAGAAAGTGATTGATCAACAGAATGGATTGTACCGCTGTGAGAAGTGCGACACCGAATTTCCCAATTTCAAGTACCGCATGATCCTGTCAGTAAGTAGCCTCGGTAGATGAGAACCACGGTTGTGTTCACGGAGGCCCTCCCGTGTGCCAGGCACTGTGGTCACAACAGTAGAGACAAAGCATTCCTGGTAGGAAGCCCGCAGATGAGTAGGTGTGGAAGAGCTTATCCATCCGCTTTTTCATGCCAGAAAGTGGTGTTGAGATACCCCAGCTGATTCAGTCTTTCATGCACGTCATACAGCCATAGCGTCAGTGACACTTGCCTGCTAACTGCTATGAAGATAAATTAATTTGAAAACGGCATTTATAGACAGCACTAATTGTACTTACACAGCCAATGCCCGTATTTAGTCACTTTCATGTGGATAATCTATTCTCTAGCTTTAGTATAGCTGACTTCAGAGGAATGTGACGGTGTGCTGATGTGAGATTGTTGCTTTTTTGCATTTTAAGAATTGTTTCTTTCTGTTTTAAAAACCTTTTTAAAAAAGTTGTAAAGTTGGGTTTAAAAAAATTTTTTTTTTTTTTTAAGAAACAGGGGTCTCACTCTGTTGCCCAGAATAGAGTGCAATGGTATCATCACAGCTCATGGTGGCCCCAACCTCCCGGGCTTAAGCAGTCCTTCCACCTTGGCCTCCCAAGTAGCTGCAACTACAGCTGTGCACCACCACACCCAGCTAATTTTTAAAATTATTTTATTGTAGAGACAGGGTCTCGCTCTGCTGTTCAGGTTGGTCTCAAGTTCCTGGCCTCATGTCATCCTCCCACCTCAGCCTTCCAAAGTGCTGGCATTACAAGCCTGAGCCACTGCACCCGGCCTTAAGATTTTTATTTTGTTTTGTTTTGTTTTCAATGATAGAACTAGGCGATAATAGCAGTTTAAGAAAACAGTTTAAGGCCGGGCACAGTGGCTCACTTTTGTAATCCCAGCACTTTGGGAGGCCGAGGCGGGTGCGTCACCTGAGATCAGGAGTTTGAGACCAGCCTGGCCAACATGGTGAAACCCTGTCTCTACTAAAAATACAAAAATTAGCCGGGCGTGGTGGCGGGTGCCTGTAGTCCCAGCTACTCGGGAGGCTGAGGCAGGAGAATCGCTTGAACCCGGGAGGCAGAGGTTGCAGTGAGCCGAGATCACACCACTGCACTCCAGCCCGGGCGACAAGAGCAAAACTCCATCTCAAGAAAAGAGAAAAAGAAAACAGTTTCACATTTTTCCAAAGGATGATTTGGCAGTAATATATCAGAAGCCTGAAAAATGTTCATATTGGCCAGGCGCAGTGACTTGTGCCTGTAACCCCAGCACTTTGGAAGGCTGAGGCAGGATGATTGCTTGAGGCTGGGAGTTCGATATCAGCCTGGGCAACATGGCAAGACCCTGTCTCTACAAAAAGTAAAATTAGCTGGCTGTGGTGGTATGCACTTGTCCCAGCTACTCATGAGGCTGAGGTAGGAGGATCGCTTGAGCCCGAGAGGTCAAGGCTGCAGTGAGCCATGATCGTGGCACTGCACTCCAGCCTGGGTGACAGAGTCAGACCCTGTCTTTAAAAAATAAATAAATAGGCCGGGCACGGTGGCTCACGCCTGTAATCCCAGCACTTTGGGAGGCTGAGGCAGGCGGATCACGAGGTCAGGAGATCGAGATCATCTTGGCTAACACAGTGAAACCCTGTCTCTACTAAAAGTACAAAAAAATTAGCCAGGCGTGGTGGCGGGCACCTGCAGTCCCAGCTACTAGGGAGGCTGAGGCCGGGGAATGGCATGAACCCGGGAGGTGGAGTTTGCAGTGAGCCACGATCGCGCCACTGCATTCCAGCCTGGGTGACAGAGCAAGACTCCATCTCAATAAATAAATAAATTAAATTAATAAATGATAAATAAAATGAAATGTTAGCTTAGCAGGACAGTTCTACGTTTAGGCTCATTTTTTGTAAACTATAAACTTTTCATTGAACTAAGATGAAGAAAATTTGTTTTAGTTTGTGGAAACATCAGCCTTTCTGTTAAACTCCACAGCGCAATCTCCCGCACACTTGTTTGATTTGATATTTATCACACGTGTGCGTCATTGTAGTTCTTGCCCTGTGTGATGAGATGCTCTTTGCTTCTTAGAAGGATAGCGTGGGTTAAAGGAAGTGTGAGCCCAGGGTGTGATACCGTTGCTGTGTATTGAGAGCGCTTTTCACTTTTAACTGGTTTCGTCACCTTATTTTTCGTCATAACATTCTCTCTATTAAAAGCCTTGTACCCATGCAAAATGAAGATGTAAAATCGTCAAAATGATGCCTTAAAGAAAAACCACTCGTGTTTCTACAAAGGCTTTTACTTCAGCAAGTGGATTCTTTGAGATCTGCTTTCTTCCTTGACTTTGCCCTGTTTAATGTTACACCACAGCCCAGTGGGAGACATTTGATTGCTCATTTCCTTTGCCAGGTCAATTTGGTGACTGACAGAGGCTCACGGGCAGGCTCTTCAGTTGTCTGGGTGCCCAGCAGTGACAGAGCCGTCTCATGGAACTCCTCCTAGGAACTACAGAGTGGGCAATTGAAAATGCAGAGAACTCCCCCGATTCACTCAAAACCCTTCATCCAAAGCCAGCTGCACCTCGACAGGAACTAATCTGATGGGCCTCTCTCTGTCACCCAGGCTGGAGTGCAGTGGCTCGATCTCAGCTCGCTGCAACCTCCGCCTCCCGGGTTCAAGTGATTCTCCCGCCTCAGCCTCCTGAGTAGCTGGGATTACAGGCACCCGCCACCATGCCTGGCTAATTTTTGTATTTTTCGTAGAGACGGAGTTTCACCATGTTGGCCAGGCTGGTTTCAAACTCCTGGCCTCAAGTGTTCCACCCGCCTTGGCCTCCCAAAGTGCTGGGATGACAGGCATGAGCCCACTGCACCTGGCCCTCTCTGGAAATTATTTTAATAAGTGGAAAAAGAACATTAACCTCTCCCCATCTTCTCAGTGTGTCTTTTTATTATTTCTTTGCTGAAATAATGTAGAATTGTGTTTTTTAGGTAAATATTGCAGATTTTCAAGAGAATCAGTGGGTGACTTGTTTCCAGGAGTCTGCTGAAGCTATCCTTGGACAAAATGCTGCTTATCTTGGGGAATTAAAAGACAAGGTCAGCCACATATTTTATTATAACTTCTATAACTTTTAATGGTTCTCATTCTATAACACTGACCCCACACATTTTTTTTTTTTTGAGATGGAGTCTTGCCCTGTTTCCTAGGCTGGAGTGCAGTGGCGCGATCTCAGCTCACCGCAGTCTCCGCCTCCCGGGTTCAAGTGATTCTCCTGCCCCAGCCTCCTGAGTAGCTGGGATGACAGGCACCCGCCACGATGCCCGGCTAGTTTTTGTATTTTTAGTAGAGACGGGGTTTTACCATGTTGGCCAGGCTGGTCTCGAACTCCTGACCTCATGATCTGCCCGCTTCAGCCACCCGAAATGCTGGGATTACAGGTGTGAGCCACCACACCTTGCCCAACACTGGCCCTCTTTTTGCTGTTTAATATTTTTTAGTTTGTTTCTTTTTGGTATTGTTTGTATACAGTTTCTCAGCCTGATAATTATTTAAGAGCTCATCTGATGTTATCTAATCTTGTCCATTTGGGATGTGCTTAACAGTGAAATAATGTATATAAAAGTACTTTAAAACCAAAGCACTTTCTAAATCGAAGCCACCCGTTTCTCCTGTTCCTATTAGCACATCAGAGCTAGTGTGCCTGAGATGACTTAGGTCGGGAGGTGTCCCTGAAACAACCTGAATTATTACAGGCATGCTTTTTTAACATAGTAAATACCTTCCAGAAAAGTTGAGTCAGATCCTGGTTAAAATGCACGTATGTCAAGTTCCTGGGTCTGTCCTATAAAACAATAATAATAAATGCACATATAAGGTGCCTGCCATTTCAGCCCATCAGATGCAATTCTTATGCGGTGACTTTCTTCCGTAAGGTAACTTTGTCCATTTCATTTTTATAAGTTTGCATTTTCACATATTAGGTTTATTTAATGTACAGAATAGATTGCTAATAATGCTGAATTTAGGAAAGGTAGTTGCTCAGGTAAAACATAAGGAAGACCAATAAAAGCTATGTTTTCTGGGCCACATAAATGGGCACCTTTCTGTAGATGGCTTTTCCCCCGATTTCCTCCAAATTGGTTGGAATACTTGTAAAGGCCACAAAGATGAAAGGCTTTGCCATTTGTTCTGGTGTGTTTTTCTTTTTCTTCCTGTCCCCAGTTCTGTCTGTTTGGGCTCTGCCCTGACTCTTTTTTTAAATTGTCCATGAGAGCTCTCAAAATAGTCTCAACAAATCCTGTTACAGAAATAACTAGAATTGACTTTAAAGTGTGATAGTATCTTTTGTCTGTTTTTACCTGGTCTTCAATTTTCGTATCAGATTTTAAGGCCCGAGTAAGCCTTTCAGGATTTTTATGAGCTTATTATATTTGACTGTTTTTTCTGCCGGTGAATGAGGACATATAGAAACTTCCCCGAGGAACCGTGAGATCCTGGAGTTCGCACTCCACGCCCCTCATCTTGGAAGCATAATGGCAGCCGGTGTAATTTTCTCAAGCTTTAACCCATTGTTTTATTTTCATATCTGAAAGTCCATTTGGTTTGGGTTTGGGTTTTGATCAAGTAACCTTTACAGAAAAGAGTTCTGTATAGCAAAGCTGCTTTCACGCCGTGCGTGACTTGCAAAAAACACTAGGTTGGTGTGAACTATTAATTAGTTTTTCTTTTTTTTTGTCAAAGGTCTCAATCAACTCTGTTAATATAGTTATTACACATTTATTTATGCATCTTTATACAAACTATATTCTCTAATTCTTGTCTGTTTACCAGACTTTTTTTTTTTTAATAAACTTAAATTGCATTTGAGGAGTGAGAGAGGGAAAAGGATTGTTTTTAGGCCTTCCCTAGCCTTTGCGCACCTCAACAGTCTTCTCTGCTTGCACACCAAATCAGTAGCTATAAATACAGAGGCTGAAATCACGAATTATATTGAACTTTCTTCTGAGTGTTTTTCCTTTTTTTCTTTTTTTTGAGACAAGGTCTTGCCTCATCACCCATGTTGGAGCGCCGTGGTGTGCGATCATGGCTCACTGCAGCTTCAAACTCTTGGGCTCAGACAGTCCTGCCACCTCAGTCTCCTGAGTAGCTGGGACTACTGGTACACGCCACCATACCTGGCTTAAGTTTTTTTTTTTTTTTTTTTGGTAGAGATGGGGTTTTGCTATGTTCCCCAGGCTATTCTTGAACTCCTGGCCTCAAGCAGTCCTCCCACCTCGGTCTCCCAAAACATTGGGATTATAGTCACGCGCCACCATACCTGACCTCCTAATTTTTTTTTTTTTTGAGAGTCTCGCTCCATAGCCCATGCTGGAGTGCAGTAGTGCAGTCTCAGCTCACTGTAGCCTCCGCCTCTCAGGTCGAAGCAATTCTTCTGCCTCAGCCTCCCTAGTACCTGGGATTACAGGCACCTGCCACTATGCCCAGCTAATTTTTGTGTTTTTAGTAGAGATGGGGTTTCACCGTGTTGGCCAGGCTGGTCTTGAACTCCCAACCTCAAGTGATCCACCCGCTTCCGCTTCCCAAAGCGCTGGGATGACAGGTATGAGCCACCGTGCCCAGCCTTAAAGTCTTAGAAACTTCCTAAGAGCGTTTTTAATTTTTTGTGTCTAGTAAAGCATACATAACCAAATTTGCCTTTGTAACCATTTTTACGTGTACAGTTTAGTGGCGTTAGGTACATTCACATTACTGTGCCCCTGTCACCACCATCCTTTTCCAGTACTTTTTTAAATAGGCAAATTCATAGAGACAGACGACAGCCTTGTGTTTTCCAAGGATGGAGGGAAGGGGAGAATGGAGACACACTGTTCATGGGTGGCGATTTGAAACTCTGCACATTAAGCAATAGCTCCTTTTCCAAAACCCTCTTCTCCCTGGCCCTGACAACTGCCATTCTACCTTCTATGAATGTGATTAGTGTTTTAATTTTCAATAAGATTCTACTTAAAACAGTTTCATGTAATGTTACCTGTAGATGAGTCATTCCTAAGTAATTTGAAACTACCCAGGAGATGCATTTTCAGAAGTCTTTTTAAAAGTCTTATCAGTATTTGCAAGTTGTCCAGTGGTTTCCATGTGTCAAGTTTTATGTTTGTTTTTGCAGAATGAACAGGCATTTGAAGAAGTTTTCCAGAATGCCAACTTCCGATCTTTCATATTCAGAGTCAGGGTCAAAGTGGAGACCTACAACGTAAGTAAGGGCCTGGGCAGCAGGGTTGGTGGTGGGGAGGTGCTGTTTGTCACCTACGGCAGTGTCGTGACACTCCCTGGCAGGGAGTTACTGTACTCACTGCCAGACCCCGGTGCTGACTTTGCCCAACACAGGTGCTGTTATGATCCCCATTTTCAGATGAGGAAGGAGAGAGAGCTTAAGTGTCTTGTCGAAACAATGGCGGGGGGGTGGGGAATACAATATGGATTTTTTTGTTTGTTTATTTTTTTTATTTTTATTTTTTTTCAGTTAAATCCTAGGATTTTTTCGTCTGTGTTCTGACAAAAAAATTATAACGCATGCAGTAGAGTCATATCTTTGACAAATTTAGATTGTAGAAAAGTATATTAAGTATATGAGCCGGGCGTGGTGGTGTGTGCCTGTGGTCCCAGCTACTTGGGAGACTGAGGCAGCAGTTCAAGGCCAGCCTGGGTAACATAGTGAAACCCCGTTTCTAAGTCAGTCAGTCAGTATATGAAACAAAGGCCACGTGTGGTTAAAACTACCTTGAAAATTCCTGAAATTGCCCATAATACCATATAGTATTTATTTATTTATTTATTTATTTATTTATTTATTTATTTATTTGAGACAGAGTCTCTGTCACCCAGGCTGGAGTGCAGTGGGACGATCTTGGCTCACCACAACCTCCGCCTCCCGGGTTCAAGTGATTCTCCTGCCTTAGCCCCTCGAGTAGCTGGGATTACAGGCGCCCGCCACCATGCCCGGCTAATTTTTGTATTTTTAGTAGAGACGGAGTTTTCACCATGTTGGCCAGGCTGGTCTCGAACTCCTGACCTCAGATGATCCACCCGCCTCAGCCTCCCAAAGTGCCAGGATTACAGGCATGAGCCACCGCGCCCAGCTTAGTTATAGTTATAATCAAACAGTATTGAGCATGGTCTGCCAGGTAACTGTTCTACATCCTTTACGTGGAACATCTCACTTGAGCCTAGTAACCCTATATGTAGAAACTGTGGTTACCCTATTTTGCCACTGAAGGAATTACATACAGAGAGACACGGGCATTCAGAGAACAAGTCACTTGCCTAAGTTGTATGCTAGCAAGTGGTCGAGCTAACGTCCAACCCAGGCAGCCTGACTTCAGAGCTTTGCTTTTGATCATGCTTACGAGTATCACGGGATTTAGTACCGACCAAGCACACAGCAGTGTGACAGCCCCGAGCTCGCCTGTGCAGCCTTCCTGGGTATCACTCCGTTCTGCCCGGAAAGGCACCATTCAGGCCGTGAGTGTAAACGTACGAGTGGGCAGGGGGAGTGGTAGAAACGCCCCTGCTGATTGCAGGGTTTACTCACGTATTTACCTTAACGCCCGTTCTTCTGCGACTACTATAAACATTAAATGAGATAGGGGATCAGATGTCACCGTGAAACAATGTCAGGGAGTGGGGTGGGGCTGGGGGGGATTTTTGGGGCCATTCAGCCCCATCGTGTCTGGACAGGGAAGGTGAAGTGAAGAGAGGCTGCCTCCCCAGAGCTGAGACAGGACAGACTCGGTCCTCTCCCTCTGCTGCAGGTGCTCTTCCTTTCACCACTCAGCTTTTCTTGAAATGAAAGTTTGAAAGTTTAGCTTTCAGAACTAGCTGTGTGGCTTTGTGCAAGTCACATGTCCTCTCTGGGCTGTATCCCCTGCAGTAGGGAGAATAAATGAAACTAGAGAAACCCTCTAAAGTCCATCTCACTAGGATTCTAGGCTTCTGGGTGTTTGGGAGCTTGGGTAAAGAATCAGAAGGGCCTGTGCTGGAGAAAGGACCTGTTCACTCGCCCAGCCCCAGACATTCAGGAGGAGGCTGTCACTCACTGGAATGACTGAACTCTGAACCCGTGCGTCTGTTCCCTCCCGCTGGGCTCACTGAAACCACTGAAGCAAAAGGGGTTTCACTGCTCCACACCACACTTTCACTGCTCACAAACTACTTCTCCCTTTTTGAAGGACGAGTCTCGAATTAAGGCCACTGTGATGGACGTGAAGCCCGTGGACTACAGAGAGTATGGCCGAAGGCTGGTCATGAGCATCAGGAGAAGTGCATTGATGTGAGAGGAGCAGTGCCAATCGGGCAGAAGTTTGCAAATAGGCAGAATGGAATCGATTTCCTCCCACCTCCGTGTGACGATCCCATGTTAGCTACACAGTGCAGAGGCTCTTGATGGTGGACTAAGCAATTTCCCCCCTCGTGCGCATCTCAGAACCCATCGGTAGGCAAAGGAAAATACGCTCAGGTGGTTGTGGTGTAGACTGTGTCAGGCCTACGGAGTCAGCCAGTGGCTAGCGCAAGACCAGTCACTCCCTCTGCCTTCAGGCTTCTGTCAATTTCATTATCATCAAGCAGGAATTATGTCGTAAGTCACTGACCCTAACTGCAGACCATGAAGTAAATTATGTAACTAGGTTTTTGCTTCTCCAGTGGTGACCACCCCCCCCCATCCCCGCTCACAACTTGGGTTCTTCTCAGCGGGGCGAGCTGAGAAGCGGTCATGAGCACCTGGGGATTTTAGTAAGTGTGTCTTCCTAGAATTCGAAGGCTCTCTCTTTCTAGAGGTGCTACATAGTTGGTAATGCTTGGAATGGCAATAGGGTAGAATGATTAATCAAAGGCATATCTTCTATATCTGAAGAGTATCCTTCCTTCAGGGTTTAATAGACTGAGTCAGATGGGTCTGATATTAATCAAAATTGTCTCTTCTGAGGACCGCTGATAAGCATTGACTTGCCGTCCCCTAAGGAAATCCGAGCGGCTACAAAGCGTTTCTTTACTTCTCACTTCAATTAATGCTGCGCTTCGCTTGGTGAGTGCGTACTTTTTCTACCTGTACACATTCCTGCATTCATGTATTTTGTTTTTTTTGACTAAAGCTATGTTACATGGAAAGGATTTTGAAGCCTTTTGTTTCCCTTGCTTTGTTTTAATAAACAGTATATTCTTTGGTTGTGAATCCTACTTTCTTTGAATGCAAAGAGTTCCTATAACTGGAAAGCAATTAATTAGCCTTCATAATAAATGTTCACTTGGGGGGGATGTTAACTCATTATAAACCCGAAGATTAGTCCAAGGCATGGAGATCCTTCTTCCTAGTGTTTGCAGCCCTGAAATGCATCTTTCAAAGCATGAAAACACTAAAAACAAAAAGCCATTTTGCCTGAGGATGCTGATGATCTGGCACTTGGGATTTTATTGATGTTTACGCAGCAGTCTAACACCAACCACGCTTTGAAATGTGTACAGACAGTGAGCTGGTAAGAAAACAGTAATTATGCTAGTGGGCCTTTCAGTCAGCAAAAGCATGCTCGCTCTGTGTGTTCCTAATCATATTAATTATCTATCCGGTGGCTGCAACACACCGCCTGCCATTGGCCGCACATCTCGCCGTCGTACCCCGGCAGTGCGGCGGTCACTCTGCAGCCAGAGGACCTGCTGTTCATCACTGCACATGCCGCCTGCGGAGGCTTTTGGATATGGGGAGTGATGGTGTCCTGTCTGTCTCCCCCCTCGGTGTCTGCCGTTGACATAGGGGCCAGCCAGCCCTAGACGGGATGACTTCCGTTCCTGAGGACAGACACAGAGGGACTCCTGCTCAGCCTCACTAATTGTTTAGACACATTCCTTCCTACCCTTCTCTAGTCTCAGGAGATGGTAACTGGGTCGCATTTCAGTCTCTGACTGAGGCCTCAGCCATTTTTACGGAAGTTCTTTTCTGTCTGACCTTGCTTATAAAGCATCGACGAGAAAATTACAGTCTTCAACCCTCTTCTGGATTGACAAATTGTGGCTGGGAAGTGGCGATCTAGCTTTCAGCCCAGTAACCAGTCTTTCATGCCTACTACTCCCAGCATTCCCTCCTCTCCCCACGTGTCTGTCCACACAGTGAAGAGGCCTGACCAGCCGTGGTACCAGGACAGGACGTGTCCAGGGAACGCTGACACCTGTCCTCGCGCCTTCTCAGTGGCCAGCGTGATGAAACCAGCACGTCTCCGTGGATGTGATTGGGAACCCAGGGGCAGTGCCAGGGGGAGGGCTCCCTCGAGGAGGCTGTTTCTAACAGATTTCCCCACTCAAAGATCAGATCACCAGCAGAGGAGCATCAGAAACTGGCTCCACTGTTGGGCTTTTCAGAGATTTTGGTCCCTGCGGGTTGCCTAAATAGATTCTGGCCCACAGTTTACCTCGAAAGGCTGTTGATGTTGTTCTGTTTCTCCTCTTTCACTTAGAGATCAATGTTGATTTTGCGTACACCATGACATCAGCGTTAGGCAATTAGGAGAAAAAAATCTAATCATTTCGCCTTTATTTCAAGTGGTTCTTGAATTCCCTCCAGTCTCATTGTGAAAGGGGCAGGGAAAAAAATAAAAGGGTAATAATCTGATTTCTGTCCATATTTCCAGTGTTTTATGCTTTCCATTAAAACCTTGCTAATCTCTCGCGTGCTGTTCCTTTTTTGAACTGCAGGGTCAAAAATGTTCCCCTCCCCCACTTCTGTTTCCTGAGTGGGCTGTCTTCAAAAAGTATAAATACTATTGATCGTGGTATTTAATACACTAATGAAACCCATGGTTATTGACTACATAATTAATATACTGTCCAAAAGTGAAGTTTGGCCGCCCAGTATGTAAAGGTTTATATTGACTCATGTTTCTTTGGCAATATGCCGCCCAAGGTTTTATTTATAGAGGATGAAACAGGTTGTTTGGTCTCCTTTTCTTCTTTTCACCTGTTAGAAGGCCACTATTCCCCTAGTAAACTGATTGTTTCCTTGTCTCAAAGGGAAGATTCCCCCCACTCCCCGGCCACCTTTTATGTGGTTTGTTAACTCTTAGTCTTATATCCACTCCGCTGGTAGAGTTCTGGCTTTTATAAACACCTTTGGAAGTCATCGGTTCCTCAAAAAGAGAGCATAGATGTTTAATTTTCACTTATTCAAAAAAACTGGTATTTTTGTTATTAAGACATTAAGTAAATGTTTAAGAAAAAAAAGGATAATTTGGACTATTGACTTTCTTATGCAAGTAATCATATTTGTTTGTTTGTTTGTTTATTTATTTTGAGACGGAGTCTTGCTCTGTCACCCAGGCTGGAGTGCAGTGGCACGATCTCAGCTCACTGCAACCTCCGCCTCCCAGGTTCAAGCGATTCTGCCTCAGCCTCCTGAGTAGCTGGGACTACAGGCATGTGCCACCATGCCTGGCTAATTTTCTGTATTTTTAGTAGAGACGGGGTTTCACCGTGTTAGCCAGGATGGTCTCGAACTCCTGACCTTGTGATCCACCTGCCTCGGCCTCCCAAAGTGCTGGGATTACAGGTGTGAGCCACCGCGCCCGGCCTCCATGTTTATTTTAGGAAAATAATCTACAGTTAAGAAAAACAAAATTGGCCTGGCACAGTGGCTCATGCCTATAATCCCAACACTTTGGGAGGCTGAGGCGGGCAAATCGCTTGAGCCAAGGAGTTCGAGACCAGCCTGGGTAACATAAGGAGACCCCCGTCCCTACAAAAAAATAAAAATTAGCTGGGCGTGGTGGCACACACCTGTAGTCCCAGCTACCTGGGAGGCTGAGGTGGGAGAATCACCTGAGCCGTGGGAGGTCAAGGCTGCAGTGAGCCATGATTGCACCACTGCACCCCAGCCTGGGCGACAGAGCGAGACCCTATCTCAAAAAAAGGGGGAGAAAGGGTGGGTGCGGTGGCTCTCCCTTGTAATCCCAGCACTTTGGGAGGCCAAGGCAGGTGGATCACCTGAGGTTAGGAGTTTGAGACTAGCCTGGCCAACATAGTGAAACCCCACCTCTACTAAAAATACAAAAATTAGCCAGGTGTGGTGGTGGGCTCCTGTAATCCCAGCTACTCGGGCAGCTGAGGCAGGAGAATCACTTGAACCTGGAAGGCAGAGGCTGCAGTGAGCTGAGATCGCACCACTGCACTCTAGCCTGGGCGACTGAGCGAGACTCCATCTCAAAAAGGCAAAAGAAAAATAAAATTACTTAGGATTTCACCAACCAGTAATAAACACTTGTGTAGCTGGCTACTTTTTTCTTCTTTTTTTTTTTTTTTGAGACAGAGTCTTGCTCTGTCGCCAGGCTGGAGTGCGGTGACACGATCTCAGCTCACTGCAACCTCCACCTCCCGGGTTCAAGCAATTCCCCTGCCTTGGCCTCCCAAGTAGCTGGGACTACAGGCATGTAGCTGGACTACAGCCTGGTAGTTGGGACTACAGGCATGTGCCACCGTACCCAGCTAATTTTTTGTATTTTTAGTACAGATGGGGTTTCACCATGTTAGCCAGGATGGTCTCGATCTCCTGACCTCGTGATCCGCCCTCCTCGGCCTCCCAAAGTGCTGGGATTACAGGTGTGAGCCACCGTGCCTGGCCCTGGCTAGTTTTTTCTATGTATCTATGTGTATAGAGTTTAAATTAAAAATGGTAGCATAGTAAGCATATCATTTTGTAATGATTTTCTCCTAGGATGGGCATCTTTATTTTGATAAAAATTGCATCAGAACCACCATTAGGCCAGGTGCAGTGGCTCACACCTATAATCCCACACTTTGGGAGGCCAAGGCAGGTGGATCACTTGTGATCAGGAGTTCAAGAGCAGCCTGGCCAACATGGTGAAACCACATCTCTACTAAAAACACAAAAATTAGCCGGGTGTGGTGGCTCACCCCTGTAATCCCAGCTGCCCGGGAGGCTGAAGCAAGAGAGTCCCTCCCCGTGAGGCAGAGGCTGCAGTGAGCCAAGATCACACCATGGCACTCCAGCCTGAGCGACTGAGGGAGACTCCATCTCAAAACAAAAAAATCACAAACATAATTAAAAGATTTACTAATCATTAATAGCTTTAGATAAATAATTTTAAGTGGTGTTTGGCTCTTTGGATGTGTTTTCAGCCAATTCACTCTTGCAGGATGCTTATACTTTTTCTAATTGTTATAAATTCAAGATTTCACGAGCAGAAGCGTTTATGCTTTGTGGCACTGACAATCCATGCCTTTTCTTGTTCTGTTAGGTTCTCTCATTGATTTTTCTTTGCCTAAGTCCAGGGATAACTCCTCTAACCCTGTGTACCACCAAGGGCTGGTAGGTAATTTGAGCAGGTCCTTCCTTGGAAGCAGGTAGATTAATGTAGGGAGGGGAGGGAAAAAGAAGGCTTTGGAGCCCTGGTTTCATCCTGCCTACTACACAGACGGGGGCTGTGCCTATGAAGAGGCGAAACTCTTGTTTCCCACCACCCTGGCAAAGAAGGCCTCTTGAGAATACATTTGACTTGCCTATAAATCAACCTGATTATCTAAAGCTATTAATGATTATTAAGTCTTGTAATTATATTTGTAATGATGGTTTTGAAAAGTCATTGAGAAAAGTATGTAGCCACTCGTCTTCATGGTTCCAGCCTGTCAGTATGTGACTTTATTTTTTGAGATGGAGTCTCTGTCGCCCAGGCTGGAGTGCAGTGGTGCGATCTCGGCTCACTGCAACCACCACCTCCTGGGTTTAAGTGATTCTCCTGCCTCAGCCTCTTGAGTAGCTGGGACTACTGCACGCCCAGCTGATTTTTTGGGGTCTTTTTGTTTGTTTGTTTGTTTGTTTTTTAGACGGAGTTTCACTCTTACCCAGGCTAGAGTGCAGTGGCACAATCTCGGCTCACTGCAACCTCTGCCTCCCAAGTTCAAGCAATCCTCCTGCCTCAGCCTCCCAAATAGCTGGGACTACAGGCGCCCGCCACCATGCCCAGCTTATTTTTTGTATTTTTAGTAGAGACGGGGTTTCACCGTGTTAGCCAGGATGGTCTCAATCTCCTGATCTCGTGATCTGCCCGCCTCTGCCTCCCAAAGTGCTGGGATTACAGGCGTGAGCCACCACGCCCAGCCTTAGTATGTGACTTTTTTTTTTTTTTTTTTTTTTTTTGAGATGGAGTTTCGCTCTTGTTGCCCAGGCTGGAGTGCAATGGCGTGATCTTGGCTCACTGCAAACTCTGCCTCCCAGGTTCAAGCAATTCTCCTGCCTCAGGCTCCCGAGTAGCTGGGATTTACAGGTATATGCCACCGCGCCCAGCTAATTTTCTATTTTTAGTAGAGACCATGTTGGTCAGGCTGGTCTCAAACTCTCGACCTCAGGTGATCCGCCCACCTTGGTCTCCCAAGGTGCTGGGATTACAGGCGTGAGCCACCGCGCCCAGCCAGTGTGTGACTTAAAGATATCTGTCCCTGAGAGCTATGGACTATTTAGAGCAAGGCTTGGGGGCTAAGTAGTCATATCACAGTGATATTAAAATGCAGTTGAGGGGGAAATTGCTGGAAGACTGGAGTCAATCAGGAAAGACTTCACAAAGAATTGGGTGATTTGAGACTCACTGATTAGAGCCTTCATTTAGGTCGGGGCTGTCCGGTCTGTATGAGGCAGACCGAGAGCAACACTGGTAACAGTGGCATGCGCTGTGTTCGTCACTGACACGAAGCCACGCGGTGCCACGGAGGCTGGGTAGAGGTACTGAACGGAAATGGGTTCCTGGTGCAAATAGGACAGTGTTTGACTATGGGCTGAGTGAAAGTTTCTTTTTTTTTTTTTTAATTTTTTATTTTTTTGAGATGGAGTCTCTCTCTGTTGCCCAGGCTGGAGTGCAATGGCACGATCTCGGCTCACTGCAACCTCCACCTCCCAGGTTCAAGCGATTCTTCTGCCTCAGCCTCCCGAGTAGCTGGGATTATACAGGCGTGTGTCACCACATCTGGATAATTTCTGTATTTCTAGTAGAGACAGGGTTTCACCATGTTGGCCAGGCTAATCTCGAACTCCCGACCTCAGGTGATCCGGCCTCCTCGGCCTCCCAAAGTGCTGGGATTACGGGCGTGAGACACTGTGCCCGGCCAGTAAGAGGTTCTTGTGTTATCCATTGCCATACCCCTAACCTGCATTGGGTTTGTCGTGACAGTGTCTGACTTGCCAGTGAGCTCGTGGGTGTTTGTGAGAGGCTTTGAACCAGCCACCTGGCTGCATTTGCAGCTTCTCAGGCTCTTAGTAGCTGTCGCTTTACACCCTCTCCTTAGCTGTTGATGAGTCTCAAAATGTATACTTTTCAATAAAACAAATCTTTTTTTCAGCCTTGAATAGACCCTGTGAAAAACTGAATCCCACCTGCCTCGTGAGAAATATTTATATAGCCAACTCAGAAGTGATCGTGTAAACTTTTAATAATTGCGAGCCGTTCTTATAAAATTATGCCCGTTCCCTAGTGCATTACCCAGTTGGTAATTGGAAGTTTGTGCTGTCATTAAAAATGACAGCTTCCTCAGATAACATTCTCGGTGCTTGTAAAATGCAAATAACCAAACCTATATTTAACTTATGTGTGTTGCAGCTTCCTTTCAACGGCCAGGTAACCTAGGGGGCTGGTGCCTGTTAAAGAGGAGGGCTTGCCGCGGGGAACTGCAGCTTTGTGCTCTTCAATGCCCAGCCCTGAAATGGAGTTAGAACAGGCAGGACTTTTTAAAAATAAGCCCCAGTTGGACTCTCATCTCCTCTCACCGTTGACACTGCTGTTCATGTTGAAGTTTATTTATATCTTCAGTCAGCCATGGTACAGAGGTCATTTCCATTGGCCTAAAATTTTAGAGGCTTATATGTTTGCCTGGGAAAGCTGATCTCCTCAGCACTTAGGCTTGTAATGCAAAGCCTGTCTCTTGCAGAAGCTTTTCTGCTTCCATAACACGGCGACTCCCACCGTCACCACCACCACCAATTTCCTGCTCCACGATTTATTCAAAATCTGAATAGCTGTATAAGGTGCATCCCTGCAAATGAGCTCTCCTCCTCTAATGGGCTCTTTCCAGGCAGCAAACCTTTCACAAAGGAGCCACTAATTAAGCAAAAAACAGTTTGTCTTGCTTAGCCACGTTTCAGGAGTCCAGCAGTCAGTTTAGAAGACGGCAACATCCTTTACAGCCGTGATGGTAATAATATTCTTTTGTCTCATACCAGGGTCTCTAACTGGCAATTTGGGTGTCTGGGTGTGCGTGTGTCCCTGTTCTGTCTTGCTCTCCATCTTGAAGAGGAAAATTTGTTTCCGTGGACTTTTATTTTTTTGGAAATCCTTGTTAAAGTTACTCTGTAAGGATCAAACCCACACCAAGCCTTCCTGGTTGGAAAGAGGCGCTGCCTGAGTGTCGATTTGCAGTGGGGGCACGCGCAGGCTCTCCGGGAAAACGCCTGTCAGTCAAAGCGGCTCTCTCGTGAGAGCGTCTGACTGCTCGGTTCCCTTCCATCTCCGTCTGCTGGAGAATTGAAGGTGTTAGCAGGTTCACCGGGCAGCAACGCTCAGACCGATGTGCAGGCCACCGCCGCATGCTGCACGTGCCTCCTAATAGAACCTTGAGCTCCCGCAGCCAAGCCTCATTTTGTGTGTGTGTTATTAAAGTGCCGGTGACTAGGAAAAGCAGAGCCCTCTTAATTAGAGAGCGACATCCTTGCATAGTGGTAGTGTTCCGTTTGTGGCATAATTGTCACAGCAAATTACCAGTTAGGTTAAATATTGGGCTGGTAGTTCTCAGCGCTTCCATTCTTGGCTCCACCCCGCCCTCCCCACCCTCTCCTACCCTCACCATCACCTGCTAGCCTGCACTTTTAACTTGATCTTCTGCCAAGTGATAGCTTTTAAGTGAGGCTTAGAGCAGATACACTTTACAGCAGGAGCAATAAATCTAGCTTTGGGCAAGTTACAGGATGCCAGGAACATCTGAATGAGGGGGGCAATTTTTGCTGTGTGTATGGGGGTGTGCTGGGTCGTCTCGTGGGGCTCAGCTATAAAACTGGGTCCTCCGTATATCTGACATGGTGTCTGTCCCGTGAGAAGATACTTGAGGTGACACAAGAAATGTGAAGGAAATAGAAGACCTGGTCCCTTCTCATTATCCGTCCATGGCGGGGGGGGAGCCTCACAAAATGGAAGAGCACTTTCTATAAGCAAAACCAGAGTGACACAGAGGATGCTGAGTACGTGGTGTGTGAAGGGAGTCCAGTGAAGGAGAGCGGACAGTCTGGTGGAGGCAGACAAAAAACCTATGAGTTGTCATCGTGAAGTTGCAAAAAAGGGATTGGCTGGCCGGGCGCAGTAGCTCACGCCTGTAATCCCAGCACTTTGGGAGGCCGAGGTGGGTGGATCACCTGAGGTCGGGAGTACAAGACCAGCCTGACCAACATGGAGAAACCCCGTCTCTGCTAAAAATACAAAATTAGCCGGGGTGGTGGTGCATGCCTGTAATCCCAGCTACTCGGGAGGCTGAGGCAGGAGAATCGCTTGAACCCAGGAGACGGAGGTTGCAGTGAGCCGAGATCGCGCCATTGCACTCCAGCCTGGGCAACAAGAGCGAAACTCCGTCTCAAAAAAAAAAAAAAAAAAAAAGGATCGGCTGGAAGAAAAGTCCATTTCAAACTGAAGGACTGGCACGTTGCTCAGGAGCCAGTAAACCAGGTGCAGGTGATACCAAGAAAATTAGCTTGGTTTGAGTGGTGAGTCTTTGTAGAAAAATAAATGAGATTGCTGCACACTGGGAGGGCGGCCTGGATCTTCATTTCCTTGGAGCTTAAGACTTAAGCCCTGTGGAATGTAAGTCCTAGGAGTGTCCTTTGTCACTAATTGATCTTTCAGCTGCTCATAGAGCTGGCATTCTTGCAGGCCAGGTACACGAGAAGATAGAGCCGGAGCAGCCTGCCTCCGCTTAGCCAACTGCATAGCTGAGGAAATCCTGCCGGGCATGTTATTGGAGGGTTGTGCACTCTATTCCTCACGAGCTTCGTGCTGGGATGCTCATTTTCTCTGGACAAAGATAGACTGGCTCCCTCTCTTGTTGATGGAATGGAAATTCTCTCTTGCATTATGGTTTCTGTGATAACTTTGGTGGCGGTGGTGTGGGGATAATGAAGAGTCTCTTAATGGCTCTAGTTAAACCTGGTAATATCACTCTATCACACTGGAGCCGGCCGTGGGAATCTAACCCACTTTTGTATTCCTAAACGCCTAAAACCTGCCACTGGCATCTTCGCATAATAAGGAACCAGTCATCGCTCGTCTGTGTCCTGGAACATATTTATAAGCCTATGTTAATTTCTGGACTCCGGAATGGCGCCTCTTCCAATCCCAGCCCTCGGTCAGTCTCTCCGGATAGACTTGGGAAGTCAGGTCGTTTCAGCCACACATCACCATTCTCCGTCCCTGAGCCCGGCATGCTGGTTTAGTGCCCCCAAAGGAAGAGAACTCATTTTATTCTGGAAATTGGGAAAGTGAATTTGCTTCAGGACCTGCCTAGGTCTAATTAGTCCAGTCCGTAAGCAGGCCTGGCTCCGTGTCTGAGGCATGCGTGCACGTGGATGGTGTGTGTGCACACGTGTGTGTGGCATGTGCACGTGTGTGCCCTGGCAGCCACTATAACGTGCCCGGCAGTGGCCGCTGTTCGCCCAGGTTGGCCCAGTTCAGTCCTGCTTCTCAGGGTGGCTGGTAGATGTGGCCACCTTACAACCCCCAAAAGCCTTCCATGTGCACCCCCAACCCCCAAAAGCCTTCCATGCGCACCCCCAAATGGAGAAGGGGCCGGGTGGGGTGTCATTAGGAGATGGGGGCCACGTGCCAAGACAGAGGAAGGGGAAATGGGGAGAAAACAACAAGAAAAGGAATAGGTGGGGAGAGAGGTCATTTTAACCTAAATTAAATAATGGAAATGACCATTATGAACACAACGAGGGCAGGGATTCCGTAGCCAGAGCTGCGAGACCGTGACAAATGGCTCTCCAGGGAAACGGGGTGCAGCCTCCTCTCCTGGAAGTCAGGAAAGGGGTCTCTCCACCAACCAGGGGCGGGAGGCAGAGCCTGCGCTGCCGGATTTAGCCTGGAAGTTAAAATCGCTGAAGCAGTTTATAGAAACAGCAGAGTGAGCCGCCGCGCACAATCAGTAGGCAGGATCCAGAGACGATGGCATAAATGTTTCAAATGTGCTCAGGGTAATTAGTTTTGAATTACCATGTGCATATTTTAAACATTTAAATGATCATCCCAGGTTTTCGAAAACAGTTGCACGCGGCTTGATGTCACCTCCCCTCCCGGGCGGCCTCCCCAAGGGGACACAGCCAGGTGGGGCCTGCGGGTCCCGCGACCTCAGCCGGGGAGGGGCGCGCGCTAAGCCCGGGGATCAGCGCGGATTAGGCCGCAGCCCCGAGTCCTGGAGCAGCCGCTCGCCCGGGACTTCCCGTCCTCCAAGCCTGCGTCGGCTGTGCCAGGTTTTCAAGACGATCTGCTCAGCGTTTAGGTTTCCCATTGTGCATGAAAATGCAATTCCACGCGGGCAGTTTTTCTCCCCCGTTTGATTTCCTGGAGACCCGGGTGGCTGGGAAACTTGAAAGGTGACTGGCCAGGTGGGAACCGCGTTTGGTGTTTGAAGCCAGCCACCTTGTCCGCCAGTCTCTCGAGGCGACCTGCCTTGCAGCAACTCCATTCTCCCTGGGGTTCGACTCAGAATGCAAACGACGATTTCCAAATTCCCTAATTCCGGAGGCGCTGGGAGGGGCGAAGGTGTCAGGCCTGGACCCCCACCCCCCGCCCGCGCCTTCCCTGCCGGCTGCAGGGGCGGATCCAGGCTGCGCCCTGGGGTGTCTCACAGAGGCCCTGTCGGCGGGGCGCGGCGGGTCGGGGTGTCTAAAGTCAGATCCCTAACTTCAGACACCCGAATTTAGCATCGTGGCTTAGAAACGCTGCCCTGTGTCCCCTTCCTCCCGGTTACAAGCTGTTTCTCCAGCAGGTGGAGCTGGGAGAATAAAAACTATGAGCCTGTGCCTGGGACCTTGCAGAGGGAGCTATCTGTGCTGAAATCCTGGTTGAATGAAAATTGTTCATTATGCAAACTGTCTGGTTCAGTACACAGAGGCAGCCCCCAGGCGCAAACCCCAAGTAGCTGCTTCTTCTCTCCCCAGATTAAAACATATGAACTGCTTTGATGTAATCTTATAACAAAGCCTAATAGAAATTTTATTTCTTTGAAGTTGCCTGTCATTTCTTATTGCCCCCCTTCTCCCGTCCTATTAATACCCGTACAGTCTGGGATATGCAGCCGAGTTTAGACTGTATTTGACGATGGGAACAGTGTGTTTTCCTCGGCAGTGGTCTGAGTTATTTAAATGCAGTTACATTGCTTGCAATATGTTTAATCTCTTGGGCTTCCCCCCCGCCCACTGCTATTTATCATGTTAATAGAATGCTACAGAATATCACATTATGCAATGTGTTTAAATTGATAAATTATATTAGAAAAATATTGCATAGGCGTGTTAATGGTAAGTGGGTTTTTGTAGAAACAGTTTCTCATTAGTAGATCAGCTGCTCACAGGGTAGAAATTGTAAGGATTTGGGAATATGCTATATTTATGACCTATTTGGCTAATTAAAATTAAGGCATAATTTTAGCATGAAGTTACTGCAAGACTTTGCAGAGAGGGTGGGGAAAGAAACTTGCCCAAATCCAGTTACTTTTAAATGTCAGTTGCCATAACAACTTCACATGAGCCATATTTTTACTTGAAAATTCCTTTTAGGATTCGGTTGCTATAATAATTTGCCTCAGCTCTTTTTAGGAGACATATTTTCCAATTTTCCTTCTGTGATCATTTCAAGACTTTCATTACTGTAACGAAAAATGACCATGGAAACCTCAACTCTTCCTTTCTCCGTGTGCAGGAGCAGAGTGGTCCCCCAAAATAGAAATATAGGTTTCCAGGAGGTATTCTGTAGGAAGGTGCCCCCAGGCCATGGGGGAAGGGGCCAAGCTCTGGGGATCCATTGTTGCAGGAGCCAGTTCCCTTCTGGGTGGGAATTATGAAGCCCACAGAATTTTTTGAGGTGTGGCTGTTAAGCTTTTCTATGTCCTGGGAGTTTTGCATGAGGCAAAGGCCAGCCTGACCATCTCAAGGAAGAATGAGTCTACTCATGTATTATGAAGGCCCATTGGGGGCCGTCAGCTTGTCATTCAGTGGAACTGCTGGTATTTGATGAGCAAGTGAGGCAATCCCCAAAGTATTTACTTAGAAGCAAAGTAGTAGCAGAGTAAAGTTCAGTGCCCTTTCTTTCGGTGTTTAGCTGCTAACCTTCATTCATTAGCCAATATGACCTCCAAGAAGCACCTGCAGCTATGCTGTGTTCTGGCCACAGACACACCAGAGAGGACTAGTTTCTGCCAGCTTTCAGATCTCTCTGGGCCAACACCGTCATTGCTGAGGGCAGGCTCGGGGTCCCAAGGAAAAGGTCCCGCAAGCGGGAAGAACATTCCATTTCAAAAGGCTTCTGGTTCCTCCTTCTGGGGGGAGCATGGCTGCTCTTGCTGACTAGTGTCCCTGACAGAAGCTGTAATCGGGTCTCTGGCTTTAGGGATACCATAGCTCCTCTCTTGGGAATTGCCATGGTCCTTCCTCTCCCTTTTCCATCTTCTCTTTCTACATCAACTCTTTGGTGGGATCTCCAATGGCCACATCTTTTTTTTTTATTATTATTATTTTAGATGGAGTTTCGCTCTTGTTGCCCAGGCTGGAGTGCAATGGCATGATCTCGGCTCACTGCAACCTCAGCCTCCCGGGTTCAAGCAATTCTCCAGCCTCAGCCTCCACCTCCGGAGCAGCTGGGATTACAGGTGCTCACAACCACGCCCGGCTAATTTTTGTATTTTTAGTAGAGACAGCTTCACCATGTTGGCCAGGCTGGTCTCGAACTTCGGACCTCAGGTGATCCACCCACCTTGGCCTCCCAAAGTGCTGGGATTACAGGCGTGAGCCACCATGCCCGCAATGGCCACAACTTTTTTTGGGGAACTCTAAAGCTCGAAAGGGGACAGTGGGGCTGGGCACGGTGGCTCATGCCTGTAATCTCAGCACTTTGGGAGGCCAAGGAGGATGGATCACCTGAGGTCAGGAGTTCGAGACCAGCCTGGCCAACATGGTGAAACCCCATCTCTGCTAAAAATACAAAAATTAGCTGGGTGTGATGACACGTGCCTGTAATCCCAGCTGCTCGAGAGGCTAAGCCACAAGAATCCCTTGAACCCGGGAGGCGGAGGTTGCGGTGAGCCGAGATCACACCACTGCACTCCAGCCTGGGTGACAGAGCCAGATCTATCTCAAAAAAAAAAAAAAAAAAAAAAAAGGAAAGGGGACAGTGGGCCTCCTGCAAGGAGCAGAGCAGAGGAAAGAGGACACCTGCTTACCTCCTGCCCTCCTCCAGGGACTCCTGCACCTCCTGATGTCCTCACATGTGCAGCGAGGGGGACAGTTGTCTCTCCCATCTCACAGGGCGGAAGTGAGGATCAAATGCAGTAATTTGTGAGAAAGAAAAAACATAAAACAGTCCATAAATGTGCAAGGAATCATAATTATTATATTTTCTCCTCTGGGTGAACCAGAGTTTGGATGTATGAAGCTCACATACGAGGAAAATCAACCGGGTCCGATCCATGAGCTGCTCTTTTCAAATCTCAGTGATGTGCCTCTGGAAGAGACTTTGGTGAAGGTTTGCATCTGTTTGGGGATGTCCATCATTTTGATTGTTCTGTACACGTCCGCTGAAATGTAATACTTGACATTTCTCGAGAACCCGTTGTATTTTTTTTTTAAACCTTGTAACTGAACTATATGTTCAGGGAAATGGAAATAAAACATGATTGCTTAGTTTAGATATGAAAGTGGAGTTTCTGCTTTATCCTCACCCTCCTTTGAGGACACTCATTCTTTCCCCACTTTCCGGCCCCCAGGCGTAGAAAATAGGCTGTTCCTTTGCACATGAGGGAGGCAGCGTGGGGAGAAAGACAACGTGAGGACTGTGGTCAGGCAGATCTGGGTTCAAATCCCCCATCTTCCATTTACCTGACCTCAGAATTTATTCCCTCGTGTGTAAAGCAAGGATGATATTAACGCGTGCCTTCCAGGCCAGTTGTAAGAATTAGAAATATCATACATAAAACACCTAGCGTATCGTGGGCTAACCTTTTTTTTTTTCTTTTATGCAGCTAATTCTGGGAGACGTGGGCTATGTTTTTTAAAATGCAGTGATGGTTGCTATCCACGCTCAAGGAAAAATGGAAATTCCTTTGGTCAGTCTGGCCCAGCTGCTGGCGCCCTGGGACCTCTGGGGGGATGTTTTCATGCCTTCAGGTGATTAGCATGAGGCAGCGTCTGGAGTCTGGTGGTGACCGTCATTTCTTAGAGCTCCTGAAGGCAACTTTGGGACAGTGGGTGAACAGCATTGCAAGCAGGTTGGTTTTGACTCAACCAAAAAAAGTGCTTTCTAATGATCAGAAGCAACCTGCGACATAATAGGTTGCTTCAGAGGAGAATGAGCTGGTAAAAAAAGGCTGGTAAACGTCTGCAAAGCCCCCTGTAGGAGCAGAGCCCTGTGCTTGGCCCTGGCGACTGCGAGCTTCCGGTGAGGACACGTGAGGAGGAGCATCCCTGGTTCCCGTGCTTGGCTCAGACTTCCCTTTTGGCTCCGTTCCTCCCTGAGGGTGCCTTGTGGGCAAGATGCTCTGCTGTGGTCTCCCACTTTAGAAACCGCCTCAACGAGAAGGGACTCAGGGCTGAGTGACCCTCTGAGACAGGGACATGGTTTAGGCAGGTGTGGCCTGTCTTTGGGAAAGGTCCAATGCCCCTGTGGCTTTGTTATGGATCCAAAATTACAGTTACTCGGCTAGGCACAGTGGCTCACGCCTGTAATCGCAGCACGTTGGGAGGCTGAGGCGGGCGGATCACTTGAGGTCAGGAGTTCGAGACCAGCCTGGCCAGCATGGCGAAACCCCGTCTCTACTAAAAATACAAAAATTAGGTGGGCGTGGTGGTGGGCGCCTGTAATCCCAGCTACTCGGGAGGCTGACGCAGGAGAATTGCTTGAACCCGGGAGGCGGAGGTTACGGTGAGCCGAGATCACACCATTGCACTCCAGCCTGGGCAACAGAGCGAGACTCTGTCTCAAGAAAATAAAACAAACAAACAAAAAACCAAAATTATGGTAACCCAAGGGGTGGCCGGGAAGTTCCCATTCACAGCACAGGATCCAGTGGGGGCTGAGAGAGAAGGCTTTGTCCTGGGAGCAGTTCTCTGGGTCACTGTGGCTATCACAGTAGGTTGAACGGTGGCTACCCACAAGATACGTCCACCTGGAAACAGTGAATGAAACCTTGATGGGAAAAAGGGTCCTTGTCGATGTGTTTATGTTAAGGACTGCAGGACGAGGTCATCCTGGCTAGGGTGGGCCCTAAATCCAATGACAAGCATCCTTCTAGGACAACAGAAGAAGGAGACAGGACGCTCAGAGAAGGGGACGTGAAGACAGGCAGAGAGGCTGGAGGGGTATTCCTACAAACCCAGGAACAACAAAGACTGTGTGCAGCCACCAGAGGCCAAGAGAAAGGCACAGAACACAGCCTGGACAACACGGCGAGACCCCAGCTCTGAAAAAAAAAAAAAATGTAGCCGTGGTGTCACATGCCTGTAGTCCCAGCTACTCAGGAGGGAGGCTGGGGAGGGAGGATGGCTTGAGCCCCAGGAGGCAGAGCCTCCAGAGCCATGATTATGCCACGGCACACTAGCCTGGGTGACAGAGTGAGACCCTATCTCAAAAAAAAAAAAAGACAAGAAAAAAAGAAAGGCATGGAACAGATTCTCCCCGAGAGCCTCCAGAAGGAACGAACTGGCCAACACCTTGATTTGAGACTTCTGGCCTCCAGAGCTGGAGAGAATGAGTTTCTCTTGTTTCCAGCCACCCAGTTTGCGGTCGTCTGTTTCGGCAGCCCCGGGAACACAGGCAGCCTATTGTGTCTGTCATCTTGAATTACCCTGTGTCCTTTCGGCTGGGTCAGTGGAGAAGCCGTGGGTTCACTCAGGTTTCCATTGTATTCATTCGTAACTGGGATCCCTCACTCCGGGGCTGTCGGGTTCGAATCCTCACGGCCCAGCTCGCCTTCCTTCACCCCCCAGTGCCTTCTTCTGCGTCAGGTATGGCTGCACCCTTAGTGACTGGGGTTCTTATCACTTATCGGCATCTGATCCAGCTCCGAGGAGCACGGGGCCCTGGGCACAGGCTCCCATCACACACACACACACACACACACACACACACACACACACAGACACACACAAAAGGCACATCAGCAACTGGAAGAACAACCTTTTCAAAAATCACCTTTTGAAAATAGTGGCACCGGCTGGGCGCAGTGGCTCATGCCTGTAATCCCAGCACTTTGGGAGACCGAGGCGGGCGGATCACAAGGTCAGGAGATCGAGACCATCCTGGCTAAAACTGTGAAACCCCATCTCTACTAAAAATACAAAAAATTAGCCAGGCGTGGTGGTGGGCGCCTGTAGTCCCAGCTACTCGGGAGGCTGAGGCAGGAGAATGGCGTGAACCCGGGAGGCGGAGCTTGCAGTGAGCCGAGATCGCAGCACTGCACTGCAGCCTGGGGGACAGAGCGAGACTCCGTCTCAAAAAAAAAAAAAAAGAAAGAAAGAAAATAGTGGCACCAAGCATGCAGTAAATAGCTTTCAGCCACATTCCACCAGCCATAAATTTGATCTGTTTTGACCTGGACCCAGCTGTTTCCTCTCCTCCCGTCAGCCTCTGACTCTGAAATGGCAGCGGCCAAGTACCCATTGTCATCAGCAGTGAGTTCTCGTGGGGAAAGGCCACTTTAATGAGAGAGTTGGCACCACATCCTGCACCTCAGCATGTATTGTTCCCTCAGCAAACTTTCTAGTTAACGAGTTTGGGGGTTTTGATCTGGAGAGCACTGGGGAGAGAAGCTGGAAGGCCCAGCAGTGACATCCCTTTGGAGCCGGCATTGTCTTCCAGGAGCTGAAGATCAGCCTGCAGGGGGTCTAGAGGCGGGCCGTGCAGGTGGCATGCTGGGCAGTTCCATCCCATCCACTGCTGCCTCCGTCCCCAGCCCCCTGCTTTCTCCTAGGAGAACAGCAGAACCCCTGGGTGTGGTTCTTTGAGCTTCGATGGGCCTGCCCTGCTTTTTAGACAGAAGCGTCTCTTCTCAGTGCAACCCAGGATTAGTATGGAAATAGAGACATTTTTAGGAGGCCTCTGCTGATAGCCCCTTTACCGTCGGTGTGGGGGAGTCAGCCCCTGGCCTTTGCTCTGAGGAGCGAGGGTCCATCTATCCTGTTGCCTGGCAGGTGGTACCTAAGATGCTCTTGTATGGGACCCTGTCGCTCCAGAACATCCATCGAGATTCTCCCAGCCAGGCTCGATGTCCAAGGAGCAGCAGCCTTTCTAATTCTCGGAACCAAGAAGAACCTTTTTTTTTTTTTTTTTTTTGAGACAGAGTCTTGCTTTGTTGCCCAGGCTTGAATGCAGCAGCACAATCTCAGCTCACTGCAATCTCCACCTCCTGAGTTCAAGCAATTCTTCTGTCTCAGCCTCCCAAGTAGCTGGGATTACCTGTGCGCACCACCATGCCCAGCTAGTTTTGTATTTTTAGTAGAGACGGGGTTTCACCATATTGGCCAGGCTGGTCTCGAACTCCTGACCTTGTGATCCACCCGCCATGGCCTCCCAGAGTGCTGGGATTACAGGTGTGAGCCACTGCGCCCGGCCTAGCAGAACCTTTTAAACCTTTTCATCTCATTCTTTCTTTCTTCTTCTTTTTTTCTTGCAGTATTATTTACTGTGTGAGAGCACCAAGGATGGAACGCTGCTGAAAATGAGGGGGCTGTCAAAAACCAGAAAGAAGGGAAGTCAAATGCTGCCCCCAGCAGCAATCACTGGCAGGTGTGCCGCGATCCCCCCACTTCTCAGTGGGGTGGTCCTACCTGTGCCAGCCTAATTGCTACCAGTCTGCGGCCCTGCGTGGTAATGAGGGACCCGGGCGCTAGGGCACTCTTTAAATGATGCAACATTTAAATGACTTCCATTTACCTTTCATGCACCTCTGCTTCGCTTCTTAATTATTGGCAGCATTTGACTTCCTCTTTTGCTATGGAATCCATTTCCTCAGCCTCCTGGGGAGAGGCTGTGGCCTCCTGTGTACCGTGGGGCGGCACGTTTTGCCACTGTTGTGGCAACAGACTGTGATTTGGGGAAGAAGGCTGTGACCCTCAGGACAAGAGAGAGATGCTGGGAGAGGGGACGTCTCTTCCGTGGAAAAGCAGCATCTGTAATGGAGTCCTTAGCAATGGCAGAGGGAGGGGTGATGTGGGGAAATGCACAAAGCTGAGCGTGAAGTGTAAATATGATGATTGTTGTCTCTTTCTTGGGAGGTAAATAAATCAGCTCGATGTAGATTTGAGAGGTGGCTGGTGATGCTGTGTACTCAGCGCCCCGAACTCGGCCTCTTCAGAGTGCTTCAGATGTTGATTCATTACACCTTCCACCAGCTCAGGGAGGATGGAGGTGGGGAGAATTATTATCCCGGCTCTAAACCCGGGGACTGGGCGAGGTTAAGAGGCAGTAAGTTGGGAGGAAAAGGTGGCGGCTCCGGCAACCCAGCCAATGCTTCCGCCGCTAGAAACGTCTGCTCCACTTAGAAACAAGTCATTGTCAGGTAACCTATTTTTCGGGGTGTAATTCCAGCATATGAGGGCTTTGTCTCCTCTGTATATTTCTTTGCTTGAAAAATGTATGAGCTTATGGAGCTGGAGAGAGTGACCTTAATCCTTTACCAAGCTTGTTTGGGGGCTGAAGCATCCAAGAGGGAAAGAGGAGAAGCTGACACACTCCAGGTCCCAGCCCCACTGGAACGGAGTCCCTTTGGTACATGGATTAAAAAAAAAAAAAAACCTGGGCTGGGGGGCTGTGTTATACAGGTGGAATCACAAGGCTTATAGCCTTGAGTTTCAGGAGAGTGTGGATCTGAAATGGTTTGATCATGAAGTAACTGTCGGCCAAGTGTCCGGAGGAAGGGTTCAGCCTGAGGCTGCGGCCGCGGGTCTGTGCAGCAGCCGGTGCAGGGACCGTGGAGTAGCAGCTGGGCTCTGCGAATGGGTGGAAAGGGCAGAGTCACCGCAGGGCCAGAGTTCAACCCCAACTATAGCATGAGAAAGCCAGGCAGTGAGGGAGGGGCGGGCAGTACGTCCTCCGCAGTGTGCTGCCGTGCATTTGGGGCAGTCTTGGGCTCATCTCGCCCCAAACCCTGCCGCTCTCCTGGGGCACCTGCGAACGGGAGGTGTGAGCAGGCAAGTTGCCGGCGGAGCTCTGTCATGTGGGTTACCAAGGAGCAAGAGAATAGAGGAAGCTGCCTTCAGAATCCCCAAAGACCAATTTCTTCCAGCCCCAGCGAGTGTAGGGAGCCTCCACCGAGTCCCAGCCGTCAGGGTGGCTGCGGCTCGGCATCTTCCAATGGTGTGACAGATGGAGGTGCACCTGGCACCTCCAGGCACCTGGGGAGAGCGCAGGGAGGTGCCCTACGGCGCATGGCTCCTTCTCTGAGGGAAGGCACCTCTGGGCATGCCTGCCTGGCCAGCACCTTCTGCCCCTTGTGCATCGAAAGGGGGAAGAAGCCTCTTCCCTGTTTACTCAGCCCAAAGCCACGGGGCCAGGCTGCTCCCAGACCCACTGGGCAGGCCCTGTAGGGACAGTGGCAGTAGGCGGTTAGCCCTGTAGGGACAGTGGCAGTAGGAGGTTAGCCCTGTAGGGACAGTGGCAGTAGGCAGGCCCTGTAGGGACAGTGGCAGTAGGCGGGCCCTGTAGGGACAGTGGCAGTAGGCGGGCCCTGTAGGGACAGTGGCAGTAGGCAGTCAGCCCTGTAGGGACAGTGGCAGTAGGAGGTTAGCCCTGTAGGGACAGTGGCAGTAGGCAGGCCCTGTAGGGACAGTGGCAGTAGGCGGGCCCTGTAGAGACAGTGGCAGTAGGCAGTCAGCCCTGTAGGGACAGTGGCAGTAGGCAGTTAGCCCTGTAGGGACAGTGGCAGTAGGCAGGCCCTGTAGGGACAGTGGCAGTAGGCGGGCCCTGTAGGGACAGTGGCAGTAGGCAGGCCCTGTAGGGACAGTGGCAGTAGGCGGTTAGCCCTGTAGGGACAGTGGCAGTAGGAGGTTAGCCCTGTAGGGACAGTGGCAGTAGGCAGGCCCTGTAGGGACAGTGGCAGTAGGCGGGCCCTGTAGGGACAGTGGCAGTAGGAGGTTAGCCCTGTTGCAGAGAACCTGCCACCACCATCCCTATCTGGCGCTCTCCCTGCCCTTGGTTCTTTCCCTTCTTCTCTCTCTACCCCCTTCTCTTTTTTTTTCTCACTCAGCTTCTCTGCTGAATTCTGCATTGACATCAGCACTTCCAAAAACAACAACAAAGGAAAGTAGGTCACCGGCGTACCGGATCGGAGCTGGGCCCCGGTGCCAGCTGAGTCCGGGGCTGCGGCCCATCTCATGGAGAGCCGGGGGCGCCCCAAACTCTGCGCCACAGCCTCACACATGCAGCTTGGTTCCTGCCCTGTGTTCTTAGCGGGAAGGGGTAGGTATGCGTGCATGGCCTGTATGTTGGCATGCTGGCTCACGGACGGGGCAGCGTTGGGGTTTCTGCACCAAGGGGAACACCACGTACACTCCATACGTTCCTTCTGGTCCAGGTATGATAGAACTGGGGGTCAAGAAACCCAGGGTGCACACGCCTGCTCTTGGGACTGGGATCCAGCCTGCAAATGCACGTTGATTGACATACGTGATTGACATACGTGATTGACATACGTGTGTGCACCGGCCTGACAGCACTGCCTTCTCGGCCCTGTCCCTCCAGAGCTTCTTCACATGTAACATTTCCTCGGCTCTCTATGGTCACGGAGCTCCCAGTTCTACTTGAAAGATTACCCAACACGCTAATTGGGACTCCTGCTATGATTAAAAAGAAATTCCGGATTACAGCCACCATGCCACAGAGCTCAGGAAGAAAACAGCTCTTTATAAACCCAGCAGGAGCAGACTTTCGTTTATTTATTTTTTTTCTACCTTTGAAAGAAATTGCATCTTGAGGTTGTTTGGCCCACAATGAGTGACTCAAGTACACATAGTCACCAGGTAAGGCCCAAATTGTAAAGAGAGGGGCACTCGGGAAGAGATAAAATTACAGCCTCTTCCCCCGCCCCCGGCTTTTTAATACCTAACCGAGTTATTTCTGTAAGCCTAGATCCTGCCTCGGCCGGCGCCTTTGGCCCCCTGACCTGGGAGATAGATGCTACTGTTCCGTCTGGGTCAGCCTTCGCCCACGATAAAGCTTTTATGAGCAGCTGAGGGTGCTTCATTTCAATGAAGCTCCCTGAAGCAATTAGCTCTGGAGGTCCCCAGAGGTGGCTGCAGGGAGGGAGGATTTAAGCCGTGGTCAGTGAGAGGCAGGCACAGCTATGAGAGCAGCACTGCTGAATGATTTCACTTGCAGGGCTGAGCTCATCGCATTGATACTTTTAGAGCTCATTAGCTTGGGGAGGGGGGCTGGCACGCTGTACCGGGTCCCCTGGGCATCTGACCTCTCAAAGCAGCTCCTCTTGGACCAACAGGGAAGAAGTCCTCCTAATTCCTTTTCTACTTCCACCAAACACCCATCCCCTAGTTAAGGCTTTGAAACATTAACATGGAACCCAAACCCTCTTAAAAGGCAGCCGTTTGACTTTATGAAAATGAAACATCTCCCTAATGTCAGCTTCATTAAAAGATGTAAGAAAAGAACATCAATGTTTGCTGATAGAAGAATATAATTGTTGGCCAGGCGTGGTGGCTCACGCCTGTAATCCCAGCACTTTGGGAGGCCAAGGCGGGAGGATCACCTGAGGTTGGGAGTTCAAGGCCAGCCTGGCCAGCATGGTGAAACCCTGTCTGTACTGAAAATACAAAATTAGCTGGGCGCAGTGGCAGGAGCCTGTAATCCCAGCTACTCGGGAAGCTGAGGTAGAGAATCTCTTGAACCTGGAGGCAGAGGTTGTGGTGAGCCAGGATCATGCCATTGCACTCCAGCCTGGACAATAGAGCGAGACTCTGTATCAAAAAAAAAGAGAGAGAATATAATTGTCTTTAAGGGTAACTGGCTGGTTATTGCAGATAATTATCTGCAAATAATGGAAGGCAGGTGATAAGGAGGAAGGAGGCCATGCACACGGAGCTGGCACAGGTGAGCAGAGCCGTTGGCCCAAGTGGGGTTGGGTTGGGGCTGGGAACAGCATAAGGCAAGGGCCGCACTGCCAGACTCCTCCACAACCACCCTTCCCAGAGTTTTTGCATGCACAGAGCAGTAGGGTTGCAGAAAGAATTTGGAGGGCTTGCCTTGGGTTGCCAGCATTTTGTTTGGCCAATGAGAGACCCCAAGACACAGAAGCTGCTATGTACCAGTCCCGTTGGTTCAGAAAAGAAAGATCATTTTTACTTTTATTTTTTAGACAGAGTCTCACTCTGTCACCCAGGCTGGAGTGCAATGGTGCAATCTTGGCTCACTGCAAGCTCTGCCTCCCGGGTTCAAGCAATTCTTCTGCCTCAGCCTCCCGAGTAGCTGGGATTACAGGCACCCGCCACTAGGCCTGGCTAATTTTTTTTGTATTTTTCGTAGAGACGGGGCTTCACCATGTTGGCCAGGCTGGTCTCGAACGCCCAACCTCAGGTGATCCACCCACCTTGGCCTCCCAAAGTGCTGGGATTACAGGCGTGAGCCACTGCGCCCGGCCAAAGAAAGATCTTTTTAGAACACCCTTCTCCCTCCCCAAACCAAAGGAAAAAAAAAAATAAGGACATGATTTCAGAATAAAGGATTATCTTTAGATGGAATAAATTTGGCTTAGCAAAAAACTCAATACATTAATGTTTCGTTGCAAATCGGTAAAATCGCAATCACAGGCTCCCCTTGTCTCCAAACTAGCATTTGGAAGCCAGTGTTCCCAGGGAGCTTGGAGCCTGCCAGTTGCCACAGCTTTTAGGATGACAAGGAAGCAGATTGCCTGGGTTTAAAATTCCGTTGCTGGCGTCTTCTGGAACCAGCCGCTCCATCCTTTCCCCCACCACCCCCGCCCCGTTTTCCTTGTGTGACAGAGTGGAGGAGTAGACGATTGGGTCGAAACCAAATTGGTCAAAAGGACAAACTGGTCAAGAGCGACTATTTCCGCCGCAGCCTTGGCTGTTCCACAAGCCGGTTCTGCCAAGGACTCGTCATCCCCAGGCGGAGTGCCACCTACATGCCAGGTGGGAGGCGGCGTTGCGGAGGAGCCGCTGAGGGTGAAACGAAGGAGTCCGGGCCAGTTCTTAGCCTTTTTCAGGATCTGATGAAAAGGCCGTGCTGGCCTGCACCTGTGGGCCCAGCTACTCAGGAGGCTGAGGCAGGAGGTTCGCTTGAGCCCAGGAGTTTGAGACCAGCCTGGGCAACAGAGGAAGACCCTGTCCCAAAAATATAAATTAATTTATTTATTAATTAAAAGAAAAAAAAAAAGGCCAGGCGCGGTGGCTCATGCCTGTAATCCCAGCACTTTAGGAGGTCGAGGCGGGTGGATCACCTGAGGTCAGGAGTTTGAGACCAGCCTGGCCAACATGGTGAAAGCCTGCCTCTACTAAAAATACAAAAATTAGCCAAGCGTGGTGATGGGCGCCTGTAATCCCAGCTACTTGGGAGGCTGAGGCAGGAGAATCAGTTGAACCCGGGAGGTGGAGGCTGCAGTGAGCCGAGATGGTGCCATTGTACTCCAGCCTGGGCAACAGAGTGAGACTCCATCTGCTTTTGGCTGGGCGCAGTGGCTCACGCCTGTAATCTCAGCATTTTGGGAGGCCGAGGGGCGGATCACGAGGTCAGGAGATCGAGACCATCCTGGCTAACATGGTGAAACCCCGTCTCTACTAAAAACACAAAAAATTAGCTGGGTGTGGTAGTGGGCGCCTGTAGTCCCAGCTACTCAGGAGGCTGAGGCAGGAGACTCACTTGGACCCAGGAGGTGGAGGTTGCAGTGAGCCGAGATCGTGGCACTGCACTCCAGCCTGGGCAACAGAGCAAGACTGTGTCTCAAAAAAAAAAGAAAAAGAAAAGAAAAAGAAAAAGAAAGCTCTCTCTGGCCGGGCGCGGTGGCTCACAGCTGTAATCCCAGCACTTTGGGAGGCCGAGGCAGGTGGATCACGAGGTCAGGAGATGAGACCATCCTGGCTAACACGGTGAAACCCCGTCTCTACTAAAAATACAAAAAAATTAGCCAGGTGTGGTGGCGGGCGCCTGTAGTCCCAGCTACTCGGGAGGCTGAGTCAGGAGAATGGTGTGAACCCAGGAGGCAGAGCTTGCAGTGAGCCGAGATCCGGCCACTGCACACCAGCCTGGGCGACAGAGTGAAACTACCTCTCAAAAAAAAAAAACAGAAAGAGAAAGAAAGCTCTCTCTGGAAACCTGCACATTCCAGGGGCCCTGCATTGAATTCCAGGAGGTTTGTGAACACCTCCTTCATCTCCCCAAACTTGTTAGGGGGACTCTGGCCAATAATCCTGCATCTGGACAAACACTTCTCATTTTCCACTTCTCAGTTCAATGATATAATGACATTTAAAATCCTAAAATTTCATTCATAAATATCCAAGAAAAAAAGAAAAGGACTATTCCTTCCTTGTCCCTGTTGGAAGCTTTATTTTTTTCCTTATCAAAGTTGTTTGAATATGTGGAAACTTTACCCAAATAGGTAAAATTAATATCACTAACTGAAAAATATATATATATATATATATATATATATATATATATATATATATATATATATATTTGGAGCAGAGGTTTAATAGGCAAAAGAAAGAGAAAGGAGAAAGGTAAACAGCTCTCTCTCTAGTGAGAGAGAAGGAACTTCTGAGATGAAAAGGCCCAGTTTTTTTTTTTTTTTTGATGGAGACTTACTCTGTCGCCCAGGCTGGAGTGCAGTGGCTCGATCTCGGCTCACTGCAAGCTCTGCCTCCAGGGTTCAAGCCATTCTCCTGCCTCAGCCTCCCGATGAGCTGGGACTACAGGCGCCCGCCATCACGCCTGGCTCTAATTTTTGTATTTTTAGTAGAGACGGGGTTTCACCGTGTTAGCCAGGATGGTCTCCATCTCTTGACCTCGTGATCTGCCCGCCTCAGCCTCCCAACATGCTAGGATTACAGGCCTGAGCCACCGCACCCGGCCCAAAATATATTTTTTTTATGGTGAATTAACAGGGAGTTACGCAAAATATTACCATTGAGGGAAACTGGGTGAAAGGGCTCCAGGACCTCCCTGCTGCTTTCTTTTTTTCAGTTTCCTGTGAACCTGTAAGTATTTCCAAATAAAAAGAAAAAAACTAAGACACATTGTAAAATGTTGTAGTATCACCTAGGATAAATTGATATATGAATTAGTGGTTGCCCGTTCAGTTTTTAAGCCAATTTGCTATTAGACCATTTAAAATTGGAAACAAAATATTAAAATCCATGAAAATATTCCAAATAAGAAAAGTAGACATATTTGATTGAAATTAACATGAAAATTTTGAGACAATTTTTCAAATGAGCAAAAACAGTGAAAAGAAAATATAAATTCCAAGGACAGTCCCGGGATTCACAAAAGCTCTTGAGAAGAGGCCTAAAACTGTCACCAGACCCAGCTAATTTTTTTTTTTTTTTTTTTTTGAGACAGGGTCTAACTCAGTCACTCAGGCTGGAGTACAGCGGCACAATCACAGTTCACTGCACCCTTGAACCCCTGGGCTCAAGTGATTCTCCCACCTCAGCCTCCTGGGTACCTGGGACCACAGGCACATGCCACCGTGCCTGGCTAATTTATTTTTTATTTTATTTTATTATTATTATTTTTTTGAGACAGAGTTTCGCTTTTTGTTGACCAGGCTGGAATGCAATGACACGATCTTGGCTCACCGCAACCTCTGCCTCCCAGGTTCAAGCGATTCTCCTGCCTCAGCCTCCCGAGTAGCTGGGATGACAGGCATGCGCCACCACACCCGGCTGATTTTTTTTTATTTTTATTTTTATTTTTAGTAGAGACAGGGTTTCTCCATGTTGATCAGGCTGGTCTCGAACTCCTGACCTCACGTGATCCACCTGCCTCAGCCTCCCAAAGTGCTGGGATTACAGGCGTGAGCCATTGTGCCCAGCCTATTTTCTTTTTTTTTTTTGTAGCTGGACCGTCTATGTTGTTCAGGCTGGTCACAAACTTATGGACTCAAGTGATCCCCCTGCCTCAGCCTCCTAAAGTACTTGAATTACAGGCGTGAGCCACCGCACCCAGCCCTGTGTGTTGTTTTGTTTTGTTTTGTTTTGTTTTTGTAGCTGGGCCATCTATGTTGCTCAGGCTGGTCACAAACTTATGGGTTCAAGTGATCTTCCTGCCTCAGCTTCCTAAAGTACTTGAATTACAGGAGTGAGCCACCATGCCCAGCCTGCCCAGCTAATTAAAACAATTTTTTTTGTAGAGCCAGGCATGGTGGCTCTACAGCCAGTTAGGCTGCCCAGGCTGGTCTTAAACTCCTGGGCTTAAAACCAAGGCCAACATGGGAGGCTAAGGCAGGAGAATCACTTGAACCCAGGAGGCAGAGGTTGCAGTGAGCCAATATCATACCACTGCACTCCAGCCTGGGCAACACGGCGAGACTCCGTCTAAAAAAAAAAAAAAAAGGCCGGGCGCAGTGGCTCACGCCTGTAATCCCAGCACTTCAGGAGGCTGAGGCAGGCAGATCACGAGGTCAGGAGATCGAGACCATCCTGGCTAACATGGTGAAACCCTGTCTCTACTAAAAATACAAAAAATTAGCCGGGCGTGATGGCAGGCGCCTGTAGTTCCAGCTACTCGGGAGGCTGAGGCTGGAGAATTGCTCGAATCCGGGATTGCGCCATTGCACTCCAGCCTGGGCAACACAGAGAGACTCAGTCTCAAAAAAAAAAAAAAAGAAAAAGAAAAAAAGAAAAAAACAAATTGGCCAGTCGCGGTGGCTCATGCCTGTAATCCCAGCACTTTGGGAGGCTGAGGTGGGCAGATCACCTGAGGTCAGGAGTTCAAGATCAGCCTGGCCAACGTGGTGAAACCCCGTCTCTACCAAAAATGCGAAAAAAATTAGCCAGGCGTTGTGGCATGTGCCTGTAATCCCAGCTACTCTGGAGGCTGAGGCAGGAGAATCGCTTGAACCCAGGAGGCAGAGGTTGCAGTGAGCTGAGATCACGCCATTGCACTCCAGCCTGGGCAACAAGAGCAAGACTCTGTCTCAAAAAAAAAAAAATTTTTTTTTTGTAGAAATGGGTCTCGCTATGTTACCCAGGCTGTTCTTGAACTCCTGGTCTAAAGTGTCCTTCCTCCTTGGCCTCCCAAAGCATTGGGATTACAGGTGTCAGCCACCACACCCAGCCCAGAATGTACCTATTTTTTATTTATTTTTATTTTTAGTTTTTTTTTGAGACAGAGTTTCACTCTGTCGCCGAGGCTGGAGTGCAGTGGCGCGATCTTGGCTCACTGCAACCTCCACCCTCCGGGTTCAAACGATTCTCCTTCCTCAGCCTCCTGAGTAGCTGGGACTACAGGCGCCTGCCACTGCGCCCAGCTAATTTTTTGTATTTTTAGTAGAGAGGGGGTTTCACCATCTTGGCCTGGCTGGTCTTGAACTCCTGACCACGTGATCCACCCGCCTCAGCCTCCCAACGTGCTGGGATTACAGGCATGAACCACCACACCCAGCCATTTTTTGTATTTTTTGTAGAGACGGAGTCTTGCTATGTTGTCCAGGCTGGTCTTGAGCTCCTGACTCCAAGAGATCCTCCTGCCTTGGCCTCTCAAAGTGCTGGGATTCCAGGCGTCCACTATCTTCCTTTACTTTGTGGAAGGAATTCCCTGTGGCAGCCTCGTGGTACCCTGTAGGAAGAAGGATGATGGGGCCAGGTCTTCTTTCTCTGCCCAGACTACAGGAGTCGGTCACACTGAACATGGGGTCTTTTCAGAAATGAGGATTCAGCTACACCTGTCAAGAAACTGGGGCCACCACCTTGGCCAGTTTGGGAGTTTTCTGTTTGTTTGTTTTTTGAGACGGAGTCTCGCTCTGTCGCCCAGGCTGGAGTGCAGTGGCGCGATCTCAGCTCACTGCAGCCTCTGCCTCCTGGGTTCACGCCATTCCCCTGCCTCAGCCTCCCGAGTAGCTGGGACTACAGGCGCCCGCCACCACGCCCGGCTAATTTTTTGTATTTTTAGTAGAGATGGGGTTTCACCGTGTTAGCCAGGATGGTCTCGATCTCCTGACCTTGTGATCCGCCCGCCTCGGCCTCCCAAAGTGCTGGGATTACAGGCGTGAGCCACCGCGCCCGGCCCAGTTTGGGAGTTTTCTGCCACTGCCCCCTTTTCGTGGTGGGAAGGAAGACAGATGGGAGGGAGCTCTTGGCAGCTCCCTCAGTGACCGGGTGGGCAATCCCAGTCACCTAGTTTGGGATGAGGGGTCAGGACAGCAGAAAGATCTAGGAAAGTCAGGAAGACGGACCTTCTGACTTTCTCTCCAAGGCTTTTTGCACATCAGCTCTTCTGAGCTTGAAGTTCCTGGGAATGAAAAGGAAGATTCCCCCAGACTGGTCCCATCTTAGCCTTAAGGCGCGCAGGATGGGCTCTCCGCCACTTGGATTTCTTCCTCTTGGGCAAAAGGAAGAACAGGGCTGAGCTGAGGAAGAGCTCCGCTCTTGGACTCAGAAGCACAGGTCTGAATAACTAGAAGGACCATTTCTTTCTCTGTAAAGTGAGGATTATAATCCCTTCTCCACACAGGAGGCACTTCTCAGTTGTGTCTGGGAGGGGACTTTAAAAATCTGAAATACGGGCGGGGCGCGGTGGCTCACGCCTGTGATCCCAGCACTTTGGGAGGCCAAGGTGGGCGGATCACCTGAGGTCAGGAGTTCGAGACCAGCCTGGCCAACATAGTGAAACCCCATCTCTACTAAAAATACAGAAATTAGACGGGCGTGGTGGTGCTCACCTGTAATCCCAGCTACTCGGGAGGCTGAGGCAGGAGAATTTCGCTCGAACCCGGGAGCCGGAGGGGTTGCAGTGAACCGAGATCACACCACTGTACTCCAGCCTGGACGACAGAATGAGACTCCATTTTAAAAAAAAAAGAAAGAAGGAAAGAAATGAAGCCACTTTGAGCGTGAAGGGGGAGTGGGCAAAAGGAGGCAGCTTCCATGGTGGCCTCTGGGGAGCCTGAGACCAAGCACTGGGCCTAGCATGAGGTTGGCTGGGGAGGAGAGAGGAGCTCGTGCCGCAGCGGGAGTGGTCACAGGAAGATCCCTCCCCAAGGGGTCCCTGTGAGGCCAGAGGGATGCTCATTTTTGGGGTGGTGTGGAGTGAGTGAGGAAGGAAGGAGGGAGATCAAGTTTGAGGCTGGGGGCAGCCAGCAGGCTTGGAGGTCCCAGCAGCTGTACCCTGGCAGTTTGCAGCCGGGACGTCTCTAAAGCACCTTCTAACTAGAATACCCGACCTCTGCCCGTCTCCCCTCAGTAGGCATGATGCCAAGTGGGAGCCGCTCAAGGTGGCTTTCAGCCTCTTTCCTTTTTCTTTTCTTTGCTTTTTACTTTGTTTTAATATTTTTAGTCTGCTTGCTAAGGACCTTTTTTTTTTTTTTTCTGAGATGGAGTCTTGCTCTCTTGCCCAGGCTGGAGCGCAATGGCACGATCTCAGCTCACTGCAACCTCCGCCTCCCGCATTCAAATGATTCTCCTGCCTCAGCCTCCCAAGTAGCTGGGATTACAGGCGCACGCCACCACGTCCGGCTAATTTTTGCATTTTTAGTAGAGACAGGGTTTCACCATGTTGGCCAGGCTGGTCTCAAACCGCTGACCTCGCGATCCGCCTGCCTCAGCCTCCCAAAGTGCTGGGATTACAGGCATGAGCCACAGTGCCTGGCCAATGAACTTTTTTTTTTTTTGAGACAGGGTTTTGCTGTGTCACCCAGGCTGGCGTGCAGTGGTGTGATCACGACTCTCTGCAGCCTCAAACTCCTGGGCTGGAGCCATCCTCCTGCCTCAGCCTCCTGAGTAGCTGGGACTACAAGCACGTGTCACCACGCCCACCTAATTTTTATATTTTTCATAGAGATGGTATCTCACTATGTTGTCCAGGCTGGTCTTGAACTATGTTGTCCAGGCTGGTCTTGAACTTCTGGCCTCAAGCAGTCCTCCCACCTTGGCCTCCCGAAGTGTTGGGATTACGGGCGTTAGCCACTGTGCCAGTCCTGAGCCTCCTTTCTGAGTGCTCTGGTCACAGGCGAGGAGGCCAGCCTGGGAGTAGCTCCTGGAAAGGGGGCTGGTGCGGAAATTCAGAAGAGCCTGTACCTTAGACTCCCAAAGTGCCAGACACCCGGTGGCACTTTAAATGTCGCAGATAAAACAGTGAGAGACTCTCCTGGCAACAAGCGAGATGAGGGGCCAGGGACCTCAGGGCCTCCGAGGCTCAGATTTGAGATAAAGAATAAAAACATCACAGGACGAGGTGGCTCACGCCTGTAATCCCAGCACTTTGGGAGGCTGAAGTGGGCGGATCACGAGGTCAGGAGTTTGAGACCATCCTGGCCAACACTGTGAAACCCCGTCTCTAATAAAAATACAAAAATTAGCCGGGCGTGGTGGTGGGCGCTTGTAGTCCCAGCTACTCGGGAGGTTGAGGCCGGAGAATTGCTTGAAACCGGGAGGTGGAGGTCCAGTGAGCCGAGATCACGCCACAGCACTCCAGCCTGGGTAACAAGAGTGAAACTCCGTCTCAAAAACAAACAAACAAAAAACAAAAACAACTTGGGGACCCCGTGGTCCCTGGTACAGGGGAGAATGTCAGTGCACCCCAGCCCGCAGGGGGAGTACAGACCCTCCAAGCTCACACTGGACAGGCGAGGCATCGGGTGGGACTAGGGGCTTCCTGCCCTCGACGCCTCCACCCACTCCAAGTCAGATAAACTCCTTTAGGGCCAGGGCTCAGTGGGAAATGCCGCCACTCAGGGCGCAGCCCAGAATCTGCCCACTTATCACACAAGCGTCTGTGTCCCTGACAGATGGCCACCAGCCTGCGTGGAGGGCGGGGCTCAGCCCCACTCTTCACTCTTCCTGAGTGACAGCTGCGTGACAGACTCTGCTGCCTCTCTCCTGACAACTACCATGGCAATTAGATAAAGAGGGATTTGGTTTTCTGCCACTGCCTCCTTGGCTGGTATGTCAGCTGCACATGGGGAGGCCCTCGTGTTCACCCGGCAGTCCCAGCGCTGGCCGGGGCCTTGCACATGGCCAGGGCTCAAATCTGTTTTGTTTTGTTTCTTTTCTTTTCTTTTCTTTTTTTTTTTTTTTTGAGATGGAGTCTCACTCTGTCGCCCAGGCTGGAGTGTAGTGGCGCGATCTTGGCTCATTGCAAGCTCCGCCTCCCGTGTTCACGCCATTCTCCTGCCTCAGCCTCCTGAGTAGCTGGGACTACAGGCGCCTGCCACCACGCCCAGCTAATGTTTGTATTTTTAGTAGAGACGGGGTTTCACCATGTTTGCCAGGATGGTCTCAATTTCTTGACCTTGTGATCTGCCCGCCTCGGCCTCCCAAAGTGCTGGGATTACAGGCATGAGCCACCACGCCTGGCCCGAATCTATTGACTATGTGAATGTCCCACACTAGGCTGCATGAGACTGCACAAGGGAGAGAGGCAGGACGCCGTGCCAGAGAGGCATGTGCACGTGTGTGTGCAAAAGCCTCTCCCTAACGCGGCGCCCGTCTGCATATTTTCCTCCTTCTGCCTGTTTGGCTATACGGCTGCCCCGCAGAGCTGTGCCCTCTCTCTCCAAGTGAGACTGTACATGTGCATCCTTTGGGGTCTTGCTTAGAGACCACCTTCCCCTGCCCATCCAGTCCATGCTATTGTTTCCTCTGTGGGTTTGTCCCCCCGGCCTCTCATCACTGAGCAAGTCTTACGTGGCAATTATCCCTCCAATCTCTCTGGCTGGAGTGGCGCGTGGCCACCTGGATGCTGCCACTCAGAGGGCATTCTTGTCTTGCCAGGGACTGTCCCCAAAGCAGTACCGGGGGTGGGGAGAGGAGACACGAAGCCTGGTGCCTCCTCCCAACCTCCTACCTGTGTAGGCCTCCAGCACTTGTGTTTCCTTCTTCCTTAGAGTCGGTCTCCTGGGAAATGGTGCTTACAGAGATGGAAGAGTTTAATACATCTCTTGCTTCCTCTCTCTTTTCCGAGGCCCTCAGAGGGAGCTGCAGAAGCAGTGGCTGGCGGGGGCTCTGAGGCGCCTGGGTGAGGGAGGAGGGGGGTGGCGTGGAGCCTCAGCCAATTTGGAAAGCACTGTGACCCAAGCACATCTTGCAGCAGCAATGTCAAATTCTGCCGTTCAGGCATGCCATTAGTGTGCACGCTGCCACACAGGAATCGGTGACACAAAGGCACATCCTTCCCCACCCTCCTGGAGCTTAGAAACTAACGGCTCTAATGAGAAATGAGGGCAGAGAGGAGAGAGATGGGGGCGGGCCCCCTCCTTGTGGGCTGGCGCTGGTGTCAGAGGAGGCTGACCCACTTCTTGTGGTGGTGAGGGGCCTTGGCGGCCAGCCCACTGAAATGCCACTTAAACCAGCCGCTGCTCCCTGCACGAGGGTCTCCTTTGTCCAAACCCCTCACTCGGCGCTCTTGGAGAGAGCCCTGTCCCCCTGGTAGTACAGCTACTCTCTCTGCCTCGCTTCCTTTTCTCCCCCAGGGTCCCTTCACCTCATGGGCTCTTCAGGGCCCAGACTCCCCTGCCTTCAGCAGCCCTCTCTGGAGAGACCGGCAGGACCGCGCGAGGGAGGGTGCTCAGGTGGCCATGCGACGCGCCGAGCCTCTCTTCTTTTCCCGGCTTTTTGATTGTGCCGTGAGTTATTTAGCCAACAATAGATGTTTATGTATTTTTTTAGAGCTCATATTTATTAACAGCCTGGGAAGGAGGAGACCGGGAGATTTATACGGAAAGCACGGTGAGTTAAAAGGGACAATTAGAGGAGCAGAAAGATACCGAGCATAGAATTCTAAAGGATATTTTAACGCACAATCAAAGGTTCTTGAGATATTTTCCAAGTAGACAGAAGGTAAAAGAAAATTGGCCCATTACGAGCTGATAGTGGGGGATTGGTGATGGGGATGGAGTCGCGGCTGATGGCTGAACTCCTGCTTAGAGGAAAGTGAAGTTAGAGGGCAAGGCGGGGAGCTGAACCGGGTCAGGAGGCTTCAGAACGGGGGCTGGAAGGGACTCCATCAAAGCATGCACCCACCCCTCCTCAAAGAATGAACACCAGCCAGGTGCGCTGGCCCAGCCTGTAATCCCAGCACTTTGGGAGGCCGAGGTGGGCGGATCTCTTGAGGTCAGGAGTTCGAGACCAGCCTGGCCAACATGGTGAAACCCTATCTCTACTAAAAAGTTAAAAAATTAGCTGGGCGTGGTGGCTCGCACCTACAATCCCAGCACTTTGGGAGGCTGAGGCAAGTGGATCCCATGAGGTCAGGAGTTCGAGACTAGCCTGGCCAATGTAGAGAAAACCCATCTCTATTAAAAATACAAAAATTAGCCGTGCACGGTGGCTTGCTCCTGTAATCCCAGGTTCTTGGGAGGCTGAGACAGGAGAATCGCTTGAACCCGGGAGGTGGAGGTTGCAGTGAGCCAAGATCGCGCCACTGCACTCCATCCTGGGCGACAGAGCAAGACTCTGTCTCAAAAAATAAATAAATAAATAAATAATAAAACAATTAGCCTGGTATGGTGGTGTGTCCCTGTAGTCCCAGCTAATCAGGAGGCTGAGGCAGGAGGATTGTTTGAGCCTCAGGAGGCTACAAATAAACGCAGAGAAAGACTGCCTCCCTAGGTCAGCATAGAGTAGGACAAATAAACGCAGAGAAAGACTGCCTCCCTAGGTCAGCATAGAGTAGGGCCCGGAGGAGCTGGGTCCCTGGCAGAGAGGTGGGTCGGCTCATGGGCTGGTGGGGCCTGCCTGGGAAGCGGGCGTGCATGTCCAGGGGAATTTGCTGAGGGCTCGGTGGCTCCAGGGAGCCTCCGCAGCAAACTCCTTCCCTCTGACCCCAGTCCCTGCAGCTTGCCCTCCACGAGGCCTCCCGGGCTCTCCCGCTCCCCCCAACCTGCTCACAGGCCTTCCTGGAGCCCATTCACCGTGGCGGCAGAGCGCTGGTGATTAGCTGGGTGATGAGTAAACATTTGCTAAATGGGATTCTTGGCTTTTGCAAAGAACAGCCCCGGCAGGAGAGGAGGGGTGCGGTTGGTGGGAGGGGCTCTGGGGCTGGCTGATGGTCACAGCCCGCACAGGCAGAAGCGCCGGGGTGATCTGAGCTGCTCCGAAGTCAGGAGGGGCTGAGGGCGGCCGCGGCTGGGAAGCAGGGAGCGCAGGCCGTGGAATGCTTCCCAAGCTTGGAAGCAGCAGGTGTCTGGGAATGGGCCTGTGGCCCAGGCAGACTTCCAGCGAGCGCTCCAGCTTGCTGGCACCAGGGGAGGATCTGGCTGAGCCCAGGAGGCAAGTTTCCACCATGAAACCCACTGTTGAAGAACCGCGGCAAGGTTGCCACGGTCAGAAACCACGTGCCTATGGACAGGCTGGGGGGGGTGGGCGGGAGGACGACCAGGTCGGGGGGACCGCACAGCCCCTCCACTTCCACGGCAGAGTGGAGTCCCTGAGCAGAGTCCCCTGGGCCGCTCCCATACAGGGCGCGTCTCCCATGCCCTCAGCTGGGAGTGGTTTGTGGATACCCCAGACACAGTGCTGTTACCACCTCTAGCCCTACTCCCCACACTCTTCTCTGGGTGGCTCCTCATCCTCCAAGACTCATTGGAGTGTCACCTCTGCCTGGAAGCCCTCTCTGACTGCCCCCACCCAGCTGAGCTCCTCATTTTGGGGGCCGAGGGGTGCTACCACAAGCGCCAACTCCATACCAGTTGCGAATACTTGTTTCTACATCTAGGCTCTGAGCTCCTTTTGCCCCGAGCCACGTCTTCTCACGTTTATGTCCCCAGAGCCTGGCCAGTGGCTGGACACGGAGGTCCCTGATCAGCCCTTGTTGAATGAACTATGCAGAGCCAGCCAAGCTCTGGGGTCAGGGGAGGAGCTTGTGTGAAAGGCCTTAGAGACCACCAGTGGCCATCCAGCCCCTCCGACAGGGGTGGCTCTGTCCCCATCAGTCCACAGTGGAGGCCTTCAGTGGCCACCCAGCCCCTCCAACAGGGGTGGCTCTGTCCCCGTCAGTCCACAGTGGAGACCACCAGTGGCCACCCAGCCCCTCCAACAGGGGTGGCTCTGTCCCCATCAGTCCACAGTGGAGGCCTGTGTGGCAGGAGGGCTGGGAGGGAGAAGAGATGACTCCCTCTGGGGGTCCAGGGAAAGTGGGAAGATGGCAGCGGAGGGGTGGCCCCCGCCTCTGGGAAGACCACAGGAATCTGCATCTCCATGCCCTGAACCAGACGCAAGGGGCTGGAGCTGGCGAATAGAGAAGCTTTTGCCTCGCCCCTGACGCGTCCAGTTGCTTTGATGTTTGGGGCGATGGTGTCATCATAACTGCGTAGCATGAGCTGCTGAGTGACAACTGATGTCGTCTGCAACAGAGCTGCCTTGATTCCCCCTACCTCTTAGAGGAGAAAGCTGCTAAAAATACCTGGCGTCCTGGGCCCCCACTGCCTTGCCTCTAATAACAGTCGGCAACCAGAGACTGTGCTGTGCTTGACAGAAGCGGATCATTTATAAAACATTAGCATTTCTCGTACTGACATTTCACTTCCATATTACAGGACTTCCTAAGTCTTTTTTTAAAAAAAAAATTAATAAAGTGCTTAGACTCTTGATTTTCCCACTGAGGGCCTTGCTGTCTGAAGCTGGAAATGAAATCAACAACACAACAACATCCTTGGGTTCTAAGGGACAGCCAGGCCCTAGCACCTCGGCCTGGGTCAGAGCCTGCAGGCCACAGGGGAGCAGGTGCAGGCTGAGGATTCTTTGGTCTGCAGTCACTGGGCTCCCTTTAGTGAATGCCCCAAGCCTCATACTGAGGAGGATTTGTCCAGCCAGGCCTGAAAACACAGCCTTCCTCCCTCTATCCGGGGAACCCTCTCCTTTCTCTGAAGCCAGAGAGACGTGTGCAGTCTCCAAGCCCACCCACAGCTGTCCGGGTGGGTCCCTAGCCTCCTGGAAAACTCCTTGGGCCCCAGGTACTGACTGTTTCCTTGCAGCCGCCCGTCCCCACCAGCCGCCTGCCGGGCGCCCTGAGGATCAGTCACTTAGCCATTGCTCCGGAGACTCCCGGGAATAGGCCAGGAAGGACCCAGGACCAGCCTCCTCCGGGGAGAGCCACGGAGATGGTGCCGACCCGGGGCAGTCAGAATGTGGAAAGTGAATCATGATCTGTGCGGGCAAGGGAAGTGCCACGAAACGGAGCACCAGGGTGTGCGTGCTCTCATGTGTCCCGTGAATCAGTGCGCCCCTGCCCCCTGCGGCTCCTCCCGCCAACAAATGTGCTGTGTTCCCAGAGCTGTGCCCGGCCAGGCTCGCCCACCCACAGAAGCCCAGGATCTGCCACCTGTCGGGAATGCGGGGTTAGGAAATGAAAAACAGGGTTCTTGTCCAAGATCATTTATTGTTATTATTATTTTTCTCTCTTAATTGGATTCAGCGTTTCTGGCTCCTCACACACATCCTCTCTGGTGGGGGATTCAGGTTTGTGCAAAGCACAAAGGAGCTTGTACCCACCTGGGCCCCCGGCCAGCAGCACGGCCGGCTTTGATCGGAGCCCCTCTTCCCTGTCCGGGCTCGCCTGCCCCAGTCCCTGCTTCTGACCCCTGAGTCCGGCCTCCCGAGCCTCTGCCTGCACCCTGAGCATCCCCAGGACGGCTGGGAGGGCCAGGTCTTCCGTGATGCAGAAGTGCCTGAGATGGTTCATGAAATGCCCTCATTGTTCCCCTTCTGCTAAGGCCCCCGACGCCTCCCTCCTGCTGTCCCACACAGGGCCCTTGCTGGGTCACACACCAAACAGCCTCAAGGAAAAATTCAGCAGCTGAGCCGTGCGGGAGGCCTGGGCTCAAGCCCGGAGTCTCCTTGGCCCGTCCAGGCCGTCACTGACCAAACGCTAGGCTGACGACACGGTCCGACCCTTTGGACTAACACTGTGGATGCTGCCTGGCCTGCTGGTTTCCAGATCCCAAAGCCCCTTCCTTCCCCTTCTCCATCTCGCTCACCCTCGGGGCCTGGCTCCCTCATATACAATAAGCTGCTTCTCACTTCTCACCCTGAAGCCAACAGCTACGACAGCAGGGGTGACAGGGCGCTCCAGGGTGGCAGACAGGCTTGTGTTGCATATAAAAACAAGGTGATGCTCTAAATATCTAAGAATATTGGTCCCCCAAAGTGACTCTTGCTGCCTCCCCCTTCCTCACCGTCCCGCCGACACCTTGCCCCAGGCCCTTGGCAAGGCCAGGTCCCTTGGAGACTATCGTTGCCAGTTTGGGATTCTAGACAAAAATTCTATCACTTTGTTTTTGCTAGAAATCACCAATACAATCCTTAGTTCAGCAAATACAGTTTTCTGTATAGTTTATAAACATGAAAAGACGTACAGTTAGGTAACGGAGTGGGAGGGGGACTGTGCATTTGTGTATATATATATATATATATATATATATATATATATATATATATGTAGAGTGTGAATATATATAAGTGGACGTAGTTAGTTATAAAACTGCACCTTCTGTGAGAACCTCATTGCCCGGGATGAAGTTCTAGATTTCAGCCTCTGATGATCTTTCCTTTGGTAATTGGTTCTTGGACCCCAGCAGTTGGACCTGGGTCTGCCAGGGTTGCCTGAGACATCAGGAATGAGAGGCGCTACCCCCGAGGGAGGGGCTGAAGGTGGAGTAGGATAGAATTCAGGGCAGGGTGACTGGCCTCAGGCAAGAGCCAAGATGCCACCTGCTCGTGTGTGCCCAGACTGCTGGCCACCCAGCCTCGTGGGTGAGCCTCATTTGTTCTTCTCTGCGTCCTGCTTTCTCCAGGAACCACGGGGCCCTCCAGACCTCTCGGAACGATCGGGATTCCACAGAGCCCCGGTGCCGCCGTCGGGGGCAATTGTCCCACTGTTGCCAGTGGAGGATGCACTTGGAGTGCCTTTTCCCACCTTGCCAGAGTGGACACTGTCCGTGGGCGCTCTGCGGGGCTGGCTGGGACAGCCGGCTGAGAAGCGCCACCCCCTCCCGCCTAGGGCTGTACACTTTGGGTTTATAATCCACATGGCAGGGTCCAGACGTCCAGACAGCAGCCGAAGGCTCTACCAGCCTTTTCCTGAAACCCAGCAGATCTTCCACTTGTTAAAAAAAGAAGAAAATAAATTCTGTTCCTTGGTGGACATGTGGCAGTGCTGGGTGCTGACGCCCTGGGTCCTCAGCGGAGAGTGACCGCCAGCCCCAGTGTCCAGGCCAGGAGGGAGGCCCCCAGGGAACTGGCCGAGGAGGCCTGCTGCACCCCGCTGGGGGCACGGATGGGGGTCCTGCGGGCACACTTGCCCTTCCTCTTGGGCCGGGCCGTAGGCATGATGTCAAAACTGAACTTGTGCTGGTAGTCTGGGGCATAGTCTGGCAGCTCGGGGGCCTGTTTCCCGGCGCCCGCCTTAGAGATCTGATTGCGGTTCCTGGGGTTGGTGCAGTTCTTCCCCGGCTTCCTGTGGCCGGGCCGGGGGCCGTGCGGGTGGCCCTTGCTCCTGGTGGGGCCGTGGGGTGAGTGGTGTTCCTTGCGGGCGGCCCTGTCGGTGGTGGTGAGCGTGTGTGACTTGATCTGGTGCGGGGACGCTGGTCCCGTGCAGTTCCGGAAGTCCTCGGCCCTCAGCAGCTTCAGGTCCTGGCCGTGCCGCAGCCCAGGGGACACACAGGGGACAGCGGAGCTGGAGCCCCGGAACCTCTGCAGCCATTCCCACAGGGAGCGCGCGCGACAACCACAGTCCCAGGGGTTGCCGTTGAGGCGGAGGAACTCCAGGGCCCCCAGCGGGGCCAGGCACTCACCCTGCAGCTCCGAGAGGCTGTTGTTGAAGAGGAAGAGGGTGGTCAGCCTGCGGAGGTCGTGGAACGCCTTGTGGTGGACCCACTGCAGCTGGTTCTCGTGCAGCAAAAGACGGTCCAGGTTCACCAGGCCCCGGAAGGTGCCCGGGCCCAGACTCCACAGCTTGTTGCCGTGGAGAAACAGGTGGCTGAGGTTGACCAGGTCCACGAAGATGTCGTCCTGGAGGTACTCGATGTGGTTGTCCTGCAGGTAGAGGTACTGCAGGCTGTGCAGGCCGCCAAAGACGCCGGCCGGCAAGGCGCTGAGCCCACACTTGTAGAGGTAGAGGGCGTGAAGCTTCACCAGGCCCTGGAAGGTCTCGGGTGCCAGCGTCCGCAGCTGCCGGTTGTCGCCGAGGTCCAGCTCCTCCAGGTGCACGAAGCCCTCGAAGGTGCTGGGGTGGATGTAGGTGATGTTGTTCGAGTAGATCCACAGGGTGACCATGGCGGGGCTGAAGTGGCCGGGCTGGAGGAGGCCGATGCGGTTGTTCTGCAGGAAGACGCGCTCGCTGTCCACGGGGATGCCCTCCGGGATGGCTGCAAAGTTGTGCGCCTGGCAGCTGACCGTCATGGGCGCCGGGTAGCACACACAGTCCCGTGGGCAGCCACCACCCAGGGGCAGCTCCGCAGCTACCAACAGCAGCAGCAACTCCACACAGCACCCTGGCAGGGAGAGAGAGCACAGCCAGGTCAGGGGCCGTGCAGGTGAGGACTGGCACCGCACCCTCCGGCGCCCGCCGAGGACGCATCCTCGTCTTGGCTGAGCTCCGTGAGAGCCTTGTCCCTGGCTGGAGCAAGGCCAGGGTCAAGGCCCAAGCCTGGAACCCGTCGGGGATGAGAGGCCTCCCCTCCTTGGTGACCCACTTCTGCTGGGCTGGGAGGTGAGTCTGGGGTGAAGGCCCCAATCACCCCCACACCTCCTTAGTTCCACCCCACAGCTGCTGAGCCCCAGCCCCACCTGCTCCAGCTCTGTCACACTGCTGGGGTGTAGGTCATGACCCAGGGACACAGCCGTCAGCCTCCTGCTCTCCTCCTAGCTGTGCCGCTGGTTGTTGTTATCTGTGCTCACGGATATTGGGAAGGACTCTTGCTCTAATGTAGTAAATATCTCATGCAGAGTCCTGAAGAATCTCTATTTATTTATTTTTATTTTTTATTGAATTTAATTTTTTTTTTGAATGGAGTCTCACTCTGTTGCCCAGGCTGGAGTGCAGTGGCGGGATCTGGGCTCACTGCAACCTCCGCCTCCGGGGTTCAAGTGATTCTCTGCCTCAGCCTCCTGAGTAGCTGGGATTATAGGTGCGCACCATCACGCCCAGGTAGTTTTTGTATTTTTAGTAGAGACGGGGTTTCTCCATGTTGGCCAGGCTGGTCTCGAACTCCCCGCCTCAGGTGATCTGCCTTGGCCTCCCAAAGTGCTGGGATTACAGGTGTGAGCCACCGCGCCCGGCCAGAATCTCTTTATTTGAATCATTCCCAATTACAAGCACAGCATGCATGCGTGGCACCAAAGTTCACCTCAAATAATGTCTCCTTTACATTTACAGTGTCTTCCACATCCTCAAAACATACGGGCAACACCCCTTCTAAGCCTCAGTTTCCTCATTTCTGAAATACAGACATGGCCGGGCGCGGTGGCTCACGCCTGTAATCCCAACACTTTGGGAAGCCGAGGCAGGCGGATCACCTGAGGTCAGGAGTTCAACACCACCCTAGCCAACATGGTGAAACCCTGTCTCTACTAAAAACACAAAAATTAGCCGGGTGGCTACTCAGGAGGCTCAGTAGTACTCAGGAGGCTGAGGCAGGAGAATCGTTTGAACCTGGGAGGCGGAGGTTGCAGTGAGCTGAGATTGCACTACCACACTCCAGCCTGGGTGACAAAGTGAGATTCTGTCTCAAAAAAAATAAATAAATAAAATAAAGGCCGGGAGCAGTGGCTCACACCTGTAGTCTCAGCACTTTGGGAGGCCGAGGCGGGCGGATCACGAGGTCAGGAGATCGAGACCATCCTGGCTAACACGGCGAAACCCCGTCTCTACTAAAAATACAAAAAAATTAGCCGGGCGTGGTGGCGCGCACTTGTAGTCCCAGCTACTTGGGAGGCTGAGGCAGGAGAATAGCGTGAACCCGGGAGGTGGAGCTTGCAGTGAGCTGAGATCGTGCCACTGCACTCCAGCCTGGGCGACAGAGCGAAACTCCGTCTCAATAAATAAATAAATAAATAAATAAATAAATAAATAAATAAAATACAGACAATAGCAGTTCTCCCTGGCAGAGCTGTGTGGATGTCCTGAGAGGGCGCCTGTCTGTGAAGGTCTGGGGGTGGCACCAGCTGTCAGGCGAGGCTGCCCCAATCCCGGCCCACCTTCTGGCCACTCCCCTCTCCCACCTCACTCCAGCCTCCAGGCTGTGGTTGCAAAACCAGGCCTTGCCTCTCGACTGTCCAGAGCGTTTCCTCTGTAGCTTCCCTCTAATTGGGCATTAATTAGGCATTCGTTAATGGATCCTTAAAATAATTTATTTTCCGATGTGTCCAGCCTGTGGTCGGATAATAGCCCCGTGCTCATTATTGGAGCACCCTCATTACGGACGATCGTCATTACCTACCTTTTTCCAGGGTCCCAGCTGCCCCAGGCGGCCAGGCAGGCGCGCCGAGGTTGGGGGGCCGGCTCCAGGCCTCCAGGCCCCCACCCTGGAGGGCCAGGCAGCCATCTCCTCCCTACCCAGCTAGCCTCCAGCCCCTTTGCTTCTAGCTTTCCAGCCAGGCCTCATGGGAGAGCCGGGGCACCCAGGGCAGCTGAGTCTCTGCTGCAGCTGTACCCAGAGCTTGTGGGATGAGAGAACCAACCCTCTGGCCACTCTCGGGCCAGCCCTGCTCCCGGCCTCGTGCCGCTGCCTGCCCAGGCTCACGGCCCAGCAGGCCTCACCGCCACTGTCACCCCCTCGTTCCTGGCAGAAACAGCCTCGTAAATAAGTGACAGCTCCCAGCTGTTGGGAGTTATGGGCTCCCAGAGAGTGGCAGCTGCTTCCCGTCCCCTGTAATCACCCGGCTTCGACTGAACATTTCCAACACATAAAAATCATCGTACATAATTTGTTTTTTTTGCATAATTGGGCTCGGTTGCGAATTCAGAGGAATTATGACTTCAGCGGTGGCGGTGGCACAGCTTCAAGGACCCTTTCTGGGCCAAGCCGTGCTCTCTGTGCTCTCTGCAGTGACTTCTGTCCCGCCCAGTGCACAGCCCGCAGGCTGGGCCGAGGCTGCTGCTGTTTCCCCCTCCTACCTCAGTTTCCCCTCCTACCACACGTAGGAGATGATGGCAGTGTCCACCGTCTCCACTTGGAGGCTCAGATCTGGCTTCCAGCCCCTGCTGCCTGCCTCCATCTGCCCAAGGAGACCCAGCCTGCAGGGGGAGGCAGGGGTGTGTTGGGGGAGGAACCTGGGCTCCAAACCCCACTTGACTTTTGGGAAGCCTGCCCACTGCCTGAACCCTCCACACCCAGGGCTGGGAGGGGGCCCCAACCCACACCAGCTGCACCTTCCACAGAGCCGACACTCCCCGTCTCTCTCAGCTCACACTCCTCACCCCTCCTCGGGCTGCTACCCTCCAGGAAGGTGCTTCCCGCACCTGTAGGAAGCTTCCTCCCCCAGGGAGCCGCCCCGCTCTGCCACCCTGAGGGAGCCAGGGTGCCCCTCCTAGCTCAAGGGTGTTCATGGTGTTCACTGCTTCTCATCCCACATCTCAGGCTTTTGGGGACGGGGCCACAGCCAGGCCATTCTGCAAAGACAAAGCCATTTCGTCCCTTGGGCTGCAGCAAGAGAGGCCTTGCGGCAGGGGGACGGGGTGATATGTGTCCGGCTCAGCGCTAATCCCACTCGACATTTGCACAGCTTACTGGAGTTTACAAAGTGCTTCTGCTCACACTCCCCTGAGCCTCAGGACTACCCGGTGTGCTGGGGTGTGGGGAGCCCTCCTTCACCCACTGTGTGGCTATCTCTGTAAGGTCCAGGATGCAGTTCTCTGAAATGACACCCGGAGAAGCTAATAGCGGGTCCCACGGAGAGACATTTCCCCGTCAGACACAAAGCAGGTGCCTCCAAGGGATGTCAGGAAACAGGGGACACCAGGCAAGGACCCCAGTTTAGGTGAAAAAGCCAAATGGCCCCCACATCCAGGAGTGGGCTTGGTACGTGGCTCGTGGGTGTGCCGTGGGTGGGAGGGGTCAGAGAGCAGGGGTGGAGTGAAGACCCAGGGCAGGAACCCTCCTGCCCCTCCTCTGAGAGGGCTCCAGGCTTGGTGCAGGGCCTGGCTCACATTCCCGGTCTCAAGGAAGAACAAGCCATTGTATCAGGGGCCTGGGGCGGGGGCCGGGCAACAAGCCACAGGCACCAGTGTGGGCAGCCCCTCCCGTCCCAGTGCCTGAGGATGGTGGAGGGCCCCTCGGGGGCCAGGCGGTGGGGGGGGATCCGAGCCCGGGGGAGTGCTCACCGACCTTGGGTACTGCCCAGATGCAGGGGACCCACCCCAGGGAAGCTGTCCTTCCAGGCACCCCTGCCCCTCCTCCTGGAGAGTAGGGATGTCTCTGCTGAGTGCTTCTGCACGCTGGAAGTTGGTCCCATCTCCAAGACCTGGACCAGCTGTCCCAGCTGGCCCCGCCGCCTCTGGTACCCCCTGCCAGAGCCAGTGGGTGCCCCAGTCTTGGACGGTCCCCCTGCTGGGTTTCTCCCAGGGAGGCTGGCGCAGCTTTGCCACGGCTCCTCTCATGCCCCTCCATGCAGCCCTTGGGAGCCCCGACCCGCTGATTGCCTGATTAATGTGCAGAAGTGAGGCCCGAGCCTTGGCGGTGCATTTTAAGATTGCAAATTAGCAGGGATCAGACTCTCTCCGGAGGAGCCCTGCACCCCTCCCACCAGCCTCCTCGTCCCCTCCTGGGTGGGCCAGGGGTGGCTCTGCCAGAGGGGGCTGAGGAGAGCAAGGCCGGGCCTCCCCCAAAACTCCCCCAAGCTTTCCCTGGGGGAGTCCCCCTGCTCCTCCTCTCCTCCAGGGGCACGTGCTCGGCTGACTGCTCGGGTATCCCCAAACCTCCTGGCCTCCCACATGCCTGAGCTCACCCGCATCTCTGAGGCCTCATTCATTCCCTCCTCCATTCAACACTTGCTGCCTGAGCCCCGGGGTGTGGGGGGTGCCAGTGGGGAGGGCCCAGAATGACTGGGTGGGGGGATACGGAGGATCCTCATGGCTCACTAGCAGATGGGGGGGCTCACTAGGAGATGGGGGCTCCCAAGAGCAGGCAGTCTGGCCAGGTGCTGGGGCCTAGGGTAGGCCCCTGGAGGTGTGTGTGGGAAGTGGGGGTGCTCAGGAAAGACCCCTGCCATCCCCGTGCCACCTGCCAACATTGTTCCGTCACCTCCTGGAGTATGAATCTGGGAACCAGGGAGAAGGGTCCCTGCCTCACAGGGTTGCCTTAGGATTCCAGCCAGCACAGAGGAGGCAAGGAGAGCTGTGTTGTGTTCAGGTCCTCCTTTCTGCAAATCCCCAAGTCCCTGCTTGCTGGTCAGGGAGCATGGGGGCAGCTCAGGCGGGTGGCCTGAGCACGGGAAGCCACCCTACCCGGTCCGCTCAGCAGCCCCAGATGTGCCTACAAGTTGTCCTGTGAGGCCACACCTGCCAGGATGGTGGGAAGGGAAAGGCAATGGCCACAGCCCGTGCGAAGGCCCTGCAGTGGGAAGGGGGCGACGTGCCCCTTCCTACCCTGGCTCTGTCTCTCAGGCTCTAAGTACACAGAGCCTCCAAGGAGGCTGTAACCTCAGCTCAGCTGGGCTGGGGGAACCCAGAGCCAGGATGGCCAGAGATGTCCCCAGTGGGACCAGCCCTCACAGGGCCCTTGCCCCAGGCCCAGGCCGGCCAGCCACAGCTGGTCATTGTGGAGGGCACTCTGCAGCTTCCCGGCCCCTGGAAGCAGGACAGGACCAACCAAGGCGGACCCAGCCCTAACTGTGTACCAGAGTCCTCAGGACAGCCCCCATTTCACAAAGGAGGAAACGAGGCCCACCAGGGTAAGGCACCGGCCACGGCACATGGCTGGCGACAGGGCAGCGAGCAGGCCTCAACCCAGCTGACTGCAAGTCCAGGGCTCTGCCCCCAGCTCCATCCTGCACGTGGTGGGCAGGGCGTCCTCCACGAAGGGCTGGTTGGCCCTCATAGGCCCCAGAGCCTCGAGCTGCTCACCCCAACTTGCCAGCACCGAAGGGACTGCCCCTCCCTGTGCCTGAGCAGGGCTGGCCCCATGGCTGGTATCCCCGCAGCCCCCTGGGCAGGGCCGTGGGGCTCTCTGGGTCTTGGAGACCGGTAAGATCCCTCTGGCTCTGCAGCCCTCCCTCTCTCCCCCTCCCCGCTTTCCCAGTCCTGGCAGATTGGCAGATCCTCCTCTCTATGCCAGTCGATGCTAACCCAATGCTCTCTGCTGGTCAGATAACAGCCTCAGGCCAGGCCGGCTGCACTTGGGGCTGCTGGCGCCTTAGGCTACTTGGCACTGTCCCTCCATGCTGCACCCAAGCACAGGCCACTTCCTGGTGGGCCCATCATCCCCTCTGCAGCCCCGCCTGGAGCCTGGCTCAGCCCTGGAGACATGGAAGCCAGCCAGCGCACAGCTGGGCTTCCCTCGTCCTATTGCTGGACGTGGGGCGTGGGGTGTGCAGGATGGGCAGGGGCTCCTTGTCCATGGCATAGGGCATTGGAAAGAGCACAAGCTTTGGAGCCAGAGAGACCTGAGTTTGAATCCTATTTTTTTTTTAAGACACGGTCTTGCTCTGTCGCCTGGGCAGGAGTGCAGTGGCACAATCATAGCTCACTGCAACCTCAACCTCCTGGGCTCAGGAGATCCTCCCACCTCAGCCTCCCAGACAGCTTGGAATATAGGCCCACACCACCACGCTCCGTGAATTTTTTATTTTTTGTAGCAATAGGATCTCACTATGTTCCCCAGGCTGGTCTTGAACTCCTGGGCTCGGCCTCCCGAAGTGCTGGGATTACAGGCGCGAGCTACCTCGCCCAGCCCTGGATCCTCAACTTAACCGGTGTGTCCCCACGCTTGTGTGAGCCTCATCTTCCTCACCTGCAAAATGGGGCAGTCATTTAAAGCTCCAGCGTGGCCCTCTTGTCTGCGGACGTCGGCCTCCCCCACATCTCCATCTGTCACACGAAAGCCTCCCAAACTGAGCTCTGCTCTTCCCCCACAAGCCTCCTCCACTCGCATATAATCCATCTCAGTCAGACGCAGCGCCTTCATTTCAGCTTCTCCGGCCAAACACCTTAGAAATATTTTAGACAGAGTCTCGCTCTGTCCCCCAGGCTGGAGTGCAGTGGTGCGATCTCGGCTCACTGCAACTTCCAACCTCCTGAGTTCAAGTGATTCTCCTGCCTCAGCCTCCTGAGTAGCTGGGATTACAGGTGCCCACCACCACACCCGGCTAATTTTTGTATTTTTAGTAGAGACGGTGTTTCGTCATGTTGGCCAGGCTGGTCTCAAACTCCTGACCTCAGGTGATCTGTTCACCTTGGCCTCCCAAAGTGCTGGGATTACAGGCATGAGCCACCGTGCCCGGCCAACTTCAAAATGTATTACGCAACTACCCACTTCTCATGGCCACCACCCTAGTCTGGGCAACCATCACCTCTCACCTGGACTATTGCAATAGGCTCCTAAGTGGTCCCTCTGCCCCAACCTCGCCCCTGTATCTCATCTGACACAGTAGGCAGGGAGATCCAGCACCCCTCTGTGGCTCCCATCTCTCTCAGTAAGGTCCCTCCAAGTCTGTTCTGTGGCCCAGAGGCCCAGTTGGATCTGAGCTGCCACCCCCTCCTTCCCTCCCCAGCCGCAGTGGCCTCCCTGATACACCCTATTCACGCCAGGGATGCTCCACCTCTAGCCTTTTGCACGTGCTGTTCCCTCTGCCTGGAGCGCTTCCCAGGGTGTCTGGGGGACTCCTGCCCTCACCCCACCATTCGCAGCTGTCCCTGCCTCTTCCTCAGGTGCCCCAAGTCCCCTGAGGCCTTGTCTGAGCAACCTGGTGGTTTTGTTTTTTGTTTTCTGTGACAGAATCTCACCTATCACCCAGGCTGGAGTGCAGTGGCACGATCTCAGCTCACTGTAACCTCCACCTCCCGGGTTCAAGCGATTCTCTCGCCTCATCCTCCTGAGTAGTTGGGATTACAGGTGCCCGCCACCATGCCCGGCTAATTTTTGTATTTTTAGTAGAAATGGGGTTTCACCATGTTGGCCAGGCTGGTCTTGAACTCCCAACCTCTTGATCCACCGCCTTGGCCTCCCAAAGTGCTGGGATTACAGGTGTGAGCCACTGCGCCCAGTCTTTTTTTAAAAAATAGAGATGGGGTTTCACTATGTTGACCAGGCTTGTTTCAAACTCCTGGCCTCAAGCAATCCTCCCACCTGGGCCTCCCAAAGTGCTGGGATAACCGTTGTGAGCCACCACGCCCGGCCGCCCTGCTTCACTTTACCCCACAGCATTCCCCCTCTTCTAATACACTACGTGATTTCCTTATTTTTCTTATTGACTTTCCATCTCTCCGCACTGAGTGTATGTTGACTCCGTGAGGACGGTGGTTTTGCCTGCTGTGTTCTCCGCAGTACCCTCAGGGCCCAGAACACTGGCATCCAGCAGGTGACCTGTCACAATGGCTGGATGAAGGAAGAATCTTTCTGAGTCAGCAGGGGGACTGAGAGATGCTGCTCAGGAAGCCCTAGGCCCAGGGCCTGGCTCCTAGCAGGCGCTCCATAAACAGAGGGGCGCTTACCCAAAGCGAGGAGACTCAGAGCCTCCAGGGTGAGAGCAGAGACTAGGCCCTGGCTCTATCTGGAGGCTTCCTGGTCAATCACGGGGTGACCACACGGTGAGGAGAGCTCTGGGAAGGAGGATCCAGCCCCAGGCCAGCCAGAGGCCCAGGGCAGGGTGACCAGGGCAGGTTTGCCTGGGACAGAGGGGTTTTCCAGGATGTGTGGGACTTTCAGTGCTAAAACCAGGACAGTCCCAAACAAACCAACCAACCAGGACAGGTCAGTCATCCAGGTCATTCAGGTCAGGCAAATCCAAGCCTGTGCCTCCCTCAACAAAAACCTCTGAATGCAGGAAGGGGAGGGGCACACAGGCAGGCACAAGGCACGTGTCTTCTCAAACACCATGCGTCCCGCTCAGTCCCTGCAGCCAGGAGGCCGGCCTGGGCCCAGACTGAGCCTGTGCGTGGTGTGTGTACCTGTGTGTCATGGGCATGTGTACGTGTGTGCACAGGGTCTGTGTCCATCTATGTTGAATGTGTGTCTGTGGGTGCACGGGGTCTGCGTGGATCTATGTGTGATTGTGTGTCTGTGTGTGCATGGCAAATGTGTGTGTCTCTGTGTGAATGTGTGTGTGTGCACGGGGTCTGTGTGCATCTATGTTGAATGTGTGTCTGTGTGCACGTGTGTCTGTGCATCTCTGTGTGAATATGTGTGTGTGCATGTGTGTCTGTGTGCATCTCTGTGAATGTGTGTGTGCACGGGGTCTGTGTGTGTCTCTGTGTGAATATGTGTGTGCACGGGGTCTGTGTGGATCTATGTGTGATTGTGTGTCTGTGTGTGCATGGCGAATGTGTGCGTCTCTGTGTGAATTGTGTGTGCACGGGGTCTGTGTGCATCTATGTTGAATGTGTGTCTGTGTGCACGTGTGTCTGTGTCTCTGTGTGTGCACGTGTGTCTGTGTATGCACGTGTGTCTGTGTGCATCTCTGTGTGAATGTGTGTGTGCACGGGGTCTGTGTGCGTCTCTGTGTGAATGTGTGTGCATGGGGCCTGTGTGCATCTCTGTGTGAATGTGTCTGTGTGTGCACATGTGTCTGTGTGCGTCTCTGTGAATGTGTCTGTGTGTGCACGGGGTCTGTGCGTGTCTCTGTGTCAATGTGTGTGTGCGCACGGGGTCTGTGTGTGTCTATGTTGAATGTGTGTCTGTGTATGCACGGGGTCTGTGTGCGTCTCTGTGTGACTGTGTGTCTGTGTGTGCACGTGTGTCTGCGCACGCACGCTTGTGTGCTCATGTACCTGGGCGGGCCTGTGTTTACATGTGTGTGCACAGCTGAGTGCACGTGCAAAGCCGATGCATGTGTGCAAATACACAGGTATGCACACAGAAACACATGCCTGTCTCGGGACTGTGGATAGGGTGGCGGCCCGGCCCCCTTCACCCTGCAGCGTGCCTCGCTCACCCTCCTGAAAAGGGAGCGGGGCCCTGTTCTGGGCAGAGCCACCCATCCCAGGTCTTATCTCGGCACTGGCTCTGGTTTGCCTTCAACTCCCGCCCTCCTCCCGACACGCTGAATTATGTACCCACTCCAGGTCCCTCCAGCACGCCAGGATCGCTCTCAGCTGAGAAGTGGGCGGCCCCTTATTGGAATAGCCTTTCAGCTTTCATCTGCCTCGCTGGGCCCCTGGAGCAGGCCTGGCTGGGAATGCCGTGCTAATTAGGCCGCCACATTCTCAGGGGGCCTTGTCGGAGCCACCCCCAGCTCCCCTACCCTCTGCCCATCGGGTCTCCGGTCTCCTTGCTGTGAAGGTCTCGCATGGGGTGGGGGCTGGACGCTGGCACTCTGACAGCTCTGGACCCACGTACTGCCCAGGCTTGAGACCGGCCCCCGTGGCAGCACATTGCAGTGGGATGACCTTGGGACAGGCGCTCAGTCCTGAGGTCTGGGAACTGCGGGTCAGAGCGGCTGGCTCCTCAGGTGCACTCAGTGGGACAGGGCTGGTTGTACGGGTGGCCCTCCCTAAGCCGTGATGATTACGTTACTGCTAGTGTTACCAGAGGGAGCTGCCCCCACTCCTGCTTAGGGCTCTCCCAACCCCCAGTGGACCCTGGACCCTGGATTTCACTCCACCCACCCTGATGCACCCAACCCGCCGCAGAAAGACCTGACATATCAGATGCCGAGAAGGGGCTTTAGCCCAGGGCTGAGGGTCCCTGCCAGGCTACGGCTGCAGGTGGAAACAGCGCACTGACCTCTCTACTGGGCCCTCTCTCCCCATCGAGCCAGCCCCACCTGGTCCTGGCAGTGCTCTGCAGGAAGCCCAGGGCCCGTGGCCTCTATTTCCACCTCCTGTAGCCCCTGCTTTCCAGGGCTCATAAAATGTGTCCCGTTATGCAAATTTGCTCCCAGGTTTGGGGGCCCCAGAACCTGAGTTGTGGCAGCGCAGACTCCAGGGCTGAAGGCCGAGGGCTTCTGAGAGCTTGCCCTTCCCAGGAGGTTTCAGTGAAGGCTCTGGGCCCTGCGTCTGAGCTTGGCACCTTGTGGAGCCAACTGCCCCTCCCCCAAAGCTACAGCTAATTGTGGACCACCCACTGCCGGACAGGCAGACAGGCAGACAGGCAGACACAGGCAGACAGGCGGACACAGGCGGACGGGCAGACACAGGTGGACGGGCGGACGGGCGGATGGGCCCACCAAGTCCTCAGTGATACCATAGGTGTGTTTAGTGGGGCAGGGGTTACCTCCGTGGCGACGAGACCGTCCTCGGTGGCAAATGTCTGTTTGTGATGCCTGCCTGGGGGTCCAGGAGGGGTGTGAGGGGGAGGGCGTGGGGTGGGGACCTACTGTTTTCTTTTCTTTTTCTTTTTTTTTTTTGAGACAATCTCAGTCGCCCAGGCTGGAGTGCAGTGGTGAAATCTTGGCTCACTGCAACCTCCGCCTCCTGGGCTCAAGTCATTCTCCTGCCTCAGCCTCCTGAGTAGCTGGGATTACAGGCACCTGCCACCACGCCTGGCTAATTTTTGTTTTTTTTTGAGACGGAGTCTCGCTCTGTCGCCCAGGCTGGAGTGCAGTGGCATGATCTCGGCTCACTGCAAGCTCCGCCTCCCGGGTTCAAGGCATTCTTCTGCCTCAGCCTCCAGAGTAGCTGGGACTACAGGCGCCTGCCACGACACCTGGCTAATTTTTTTTTTTGTATTTTTAGTAGAGACGGGGTTTTCTTGTGTTAGCCAGGGTGTTCTCAATCTCCGAACCTCATGATCTGCCCGCCTCGGCCTCCCTAAGTGCTGGGATTACAGGCGTGAGCCACCGTGCCTGGCCTAATTTTTGTATTTTTAGTAGAGACGGGGTTTCACCATGTTGGCCAGGCTGGTCTCCAACTCCTGACCTCAGGTAATCCGCCCGCCTCAGCCTCCCAAAGTGCTGGGATTACAGGCGTGAGCCACAACGCCTGGCCAAGACCCACTGTTCTTGAAGGCCCTGGTGCTCACGGGCAGGCCAAGGTGTCAACAATGCAAAACAGGAGCTGGGAGCCTGCCTTTGAGAAGCAGGTGCAGAACGCCCTGCCAGGGTCCTTGTTCCCCAGCCCCGAAGACCCGCCCCTTCCCTGCGATCAGTGAAAGGCATTCAGAACCGGCATCTAGAGCTCTGAGCGCAGCCCAGATCCTGTCCATCACCCGGTTCTGAATCTATCCCCACTCCTTCATTCACGAGAGTGACTGAGCTCCGGGTTTGCTTCCACAGCAGCAAGAGGCTCGGCTCCTTCCCTCCTGGGGCCTACATTCTCCTGGGGGTGCAGTCAAAATAAAGGAACCAGATAAGCCCCAAATGACGGATCATGGTAAGTGCTGGGGACAAAAAGGGTTGAGATAGAGACAAAGGAAGGGACCTATCTTAGCTGTGTGCTCTTGGAGGGCCTCCCTCCCTGGGCGACTTCTGAATTGAAACCTAAAAGATAAGAAGGAGCTGAGGAACAGCATTCCAGGCAGAGGGCACAGCAGGTGCAAAGGCCCTGAGGCAGGACTGAGCTTGGCTTGGACAAGGGCAGAGGGGCAGGAGATGGGGTCAGAACAGCAGGAGCCAGGCCTCGTATGGCCTGAAACACCACCAGAAAGGGTTTGGATCTAATTCTGAGTGTGATGAGAAGTCACTGAAGAGCCCGGGGCGGGAGCAACAGGATTGGGTTTGGATTTGGGAGGTTGCATTTGGAGGGTGAGTTGGGGGGGAGCAAGGAGGGAGGCCTGTGGCCGTGAGAGACCTTGGGGGCCTGAAGAGGGCAGGGGCCATGGAGACAGACAGTGCTGAATGGACCGGACAGATGCCAGGATGGGGCCCGACAGGACACACTGACGGATCAGGGTGAGGGAGGCGACGGGGGTCACGGGGCGGCTTCCCAAGTCTATTCCAGAAGACGGACAGGATGAGGGTATCACTATGAGACTGGAGGAATAAAACAGGAAAACCGGCTCAGGGCAGCCAGGGCACAGCTGAGGATGCATAACGTCCGAGAAGCCTTAGAGAGATGTTTAGTTGGCTGCAGCTGGAAGTACAAAACTGAAGCCCAGAGGTTGGCTGTACACTCAAGAGCTGTCGGCACAGAGCGGGCGTGTAAATTGGTGGGAATGAAGCCGGGGCAGCAGCTCACGCCTGGAATCCCAGCACTTTGGGAGGCTGAGGCAGGTGGATCACTTGAGTTCAGGAGTTTGAGACCAGCCTGGTCAACATGGTTAAACCTCATGTCTACTAAAAATACAAAAATTAGACGGGTGTGGTGGCGCGCACCTGTAATCCCAGCCACTTGGGAGGCTGAGGCTGAGAATCGCTTGAACCCCCAAAGCAGGGGTTGCAATGAGCTGAGGTCACACCCCCGCACTCCAACCTGGGCGACAGAGTGAGACACAGTCTCCAAAAAAAAAAAAAAAAAAAAAAAAAAAAGGCTACTTGGCAACATACTGAGACTCTCTCTCTCTCTCTGTCTCTCTTTCTCTGTGTGTGAAAGGAAGTTTGTTAAGAAAGTAAAGGAACTAAAGAATAGCTACTCCATGGCTGGGCGCGGTGGCTCACGCCTGTAATCCCAGCACTTTGGGAGGCTGAGGAGGGTGGATCACGAGGTCAGGAGATCGAGACCATCCTGGCTAACACGGTGAAACCCCATCTCTACTAAAAATACAAAAAATTAGCCAGGTGTGGTGGTGGGTACCTGTAGTCCCAGCTACTCGGGAGGCTGAGGCAGGAGAATGGCATGAACCTGGTAGAAGGAGCTTGCAGTGAGCCAAGATCACGCCACTGCACTCCAGCCTGGGCGACAGAGCGAGACTCCGTCTCAAAAAAAAAAATATTAAATTTTATTAACAAAAAATAGTAAACAAACAGGATTGAGGCTTTTCGCGACACAATGCTTTTGTGGAGGGGAAAGGAGGAGTCAGCCAAGGAGAAGGAACCGCCAGTAAGGTGAGAGGAAACCAGGAAAGTGTGGCTTTACCGAAGCCACAAAGTTTTTTTTGTTGTTTTTTTGTTTGTTTGTTTTTTTGGGACAGAGTCTCGCTCTGTCTCACAGGCTGGAGTGCAGTGGTGCGATCTCGGCTCACTGCAACCTCTGCCTCCGAGTTCAAGCGATTCTCCTGCCTCAGCCTCCTGAGTAGCTGGGATTACAGGCACACGCCACCACACCTGGCTAACTTTTGTATTTTTAGTAGAGATGGGGTTTCACCACATGTTGGTCAGGCTGGTCTCGAACTCCTGACCTCAGGTGATCCAGCTGCCTCGGCCTCCCAAAGTGCTGGGATTACAGGCGTGAGCCACCGCGCCCGGCCCGAAGCCACAAAGTTTTTCAGGAAGAGGGATAATCAACTGTGATGAGGACTGCCGAAGACTAACGTGAGGACAGAGAAGCGCCCCACTGATTTGGCGACTTGGAGGCCACTGGAAAGTTCCTTCCTGGCAGAAAGGCGGAGGCAGAAGGCATATGGAGTGGGATGAAGATCGAATGTGAGTGAGGTGGGGGAGCCAGGACAGGCGGGTGGTGCTGAAATCACGAGGGACTCAGAATTCTAATGGCTCAGGGACAGCAGGACGGCTGAGGCTCTGCTCCAGGACCTGGGCTGAGAGGGCACCCTCTACCCAGAAGCTGCTGCTCTCCTAGCAGAAGGGAAAGACTTGTGCACGTGGCCCTTGCCCTTTTGTTTCAAACGACACATGTCTCTCCTGCTCACATTTCATTGGTCAAAGTAAGTCACGGGGTCCAGCTGCCATCATGCACGAATACCCCCAGGGGAGTTTGGGGAATAGTGAATATCTGTGAGCACCCAGAGACCACGCTGCATGACGTTTTGCCATGAGGGGCAGCGGAGAAACGGGGCTGGACTTGGAGGGGCATGGGTCAAGGGAGGTTGGTTTTTTTTTTTTTTTTTTTTTTGAGATGGAGTGTCACTCTGTCGCCCAGGCTGGAGTGCAGTAGTGCGATCTCGGCTCATTGCAACCTCTGCCTCCCGGGTTCGAGTGATTCTCCTGCCCCAGCTTCTTGAATAGCTGGGATTGCGAATGCAGGCATCCACCACCACGCCCGGCTAATTTTTTCATATTTTTAGTAGAGACGGGGTTTCATCATGTTGGTGAGACTGGTCTTGAACTCCTGACCTCGTGATCCACCCGCCTCAGCCTCCCAAAGTGCTGGGATTACAGGCGTGAGCCACCACACCCGGCCTCTCCTCCCCCATTTTCATTCTGCACAGGTCCACCCAACCCCCCTCCTCTTGGCAATCAGGATCCAAATTTCCTTCAGAGGCAACCATGTGCTCCTCTAGAGGAGCCGGGCTCCTCTCCTGCCGGGGGTGAGTCTTTGTCTACTTCACTGTCTGGGGTTGGTTTAAACAGGAGCATGTAATCCCAGCACTTTGGGAGGCTGAGGGGGGTTGATCACCTGAGGTCAGGAGTTCAAGACCAGCCTGGTCAACATGGTGAAACCCCATCTCTACTAAAAATGCAAAAATTAGTCGGGTGTGGTGGCGTGCCTCTGTAGTCCCAGCTACTCGGGAGGCTGAGGTGGGAGAACTGCTTGAACCCAGGAGGCAGAGGCTGTAGTGAGCCGAGATTGTGCCACTGTATTCTGGGTGACAGAGTGAGATCTAGTTTCAAAAAATAAAATAAAATAAAATAAAATAAATAAATATTAAAAAATAAAAATTAAGGCGAGACATGGTAGCTCATGCCTGTAATCCCAGCACTTTGGGCGGCAAAGATGGGAGGATTGTTTGAGCCCAGGGTTTGAGACCAACCTGGACAACATAGTTAGAACCCATCTCTACAAAAAATACAAAATCAGCTGGGCACAGTGGCATGCACCTGTAGTCCCAGCTACTCAGGAGGCTGAGGCGGGAAGATCACTTGAGCCCAAGAGCTTAAGGCTGCAGTGAGCCATGATTACACCACTGTACTCCAGCCTGGGTAGAGCGAGATCCCGTCTCAAAAATTAAAATTGGGGGGAGGGATAGCATTAGGAGATATACCTAATGTAAATGATGAGTTAATGGGTGCAGCACACCAACATGGCACATGTATACATATGTAACAAACCTGCACGTTGTGCACATGTTCCCTAGAACTCAAAGTATAAAAAAAATTGAATTAAAAAAAAAATTTTTTTTTGAGACAGAGTCTCACTCTGTCACCAGGCTGGAGTGCAGTGGCGTGATCTCGGCTCACTGCAACCTCTACCTCCTGGGTTCAAGCGATTCTCCTGCCTCAGCCTCCTGAGTAGCTGGGATTACAGGCGAGCACCACCAAGCTCGGTTAATTTTTGTATTTTTAGTAGAGGCGGGGTTTCACCATGTTGGCCAGGCTGGTCTCGAACTCCTGACCTCAAGTGACCCACCCGCCTTGGCCTCCCAAAGTGCTGGGATTACACGCATGAGCCACCGTGCCTGGCCATTAAATTTTTTTTAAAGGATTGGGAGATACAAGGAAGAGATGTTCTACCTCCTGCCTCTGGGTGTGGCTGGACGAGCATGAAATGCATGGCCCTGAAGCCCCATCTTTCAACCATGAAGGGACCAGCCCAAAGGCTAATGTCAGCTTGCCAGGACTACAGAGTAAAACGGAGAGAACCTGTGTCCACAGTGATCTTGTTAAGCCAATGAGTCAACCAATGCTGGAATTTCCAAACTTCTTGTCATAGAACATGGTAGTATGTCCTCTTTCTGTTTAAGCCATTTTGGGTTGGATTTTCAATTACTTGTGTCCAGAAGTGTCCCAACACGCCTTCCAATGAGTTCCTTTTTTGCTCAGTCAGTCAGACAAGATTTCTCTTGCTTACTACTAAAAAAAAGTCTAACTTACATACTGGGCAACTCTGTGATTTGGCTCAGATGGGACCTGCTCCAGAAGCCTCCCTGGACTCACTCTTCCTTTCCTTTCCTTTCCCTTCCCTTCCTTCCTTGCTTCCTTCCTTTTTTTTTTTTTTTTTTTTTTGAGATGGAGTCTCGCTCTTGCCACCCAGACTGGAGTGCAGTGGCACGATCTCAGCTCACTGCAACCTCCGCCTCCTGGGTTCAAGTCATCTCCTGCCTCAGCCTCCCAAGTAGCTGGGATTACAGGTGCTCACCACCACGCCAAGCTAGTTTTTGTATTTTTAGTAGAGACGGGGTTTCACCATGTTGGCCAGGCTGGTCTCGAACTCCTGACCTCAGATGATCCACCCGCCTCGGCCTCCCAAAGTGCTGGGATTACAGACAGGAGCCACTGCGCCCAGCCACTCCCACTCTCTTCTCTCTCCACCCCAGAGGCGCAGCACTGCTGCGCGTCCAACTGGTTCCTGGTACATAGAGGTCATCCTGCTGTCTGTCAAGTCAATGAATGAATGAATGATTTAGCTGATGTCATTCCAGTCAAAAGCAAAAACCCCAGGTGGCCTTATTGTGGGTAAATGGAGATATATAATAAGTTGCAGCAGCCAGACGACCCCAGGGTAGGTAACTTATGCTTACAGGATAAGTTGACTACCAGCCATTTCCAGCCTCAGCTCACAGATAATTCTCCTCGGACCCTCTGCAGGATTTCTCCTCACTGGCTGCTTGAGATGCCTGCAGTCTCTAAGAATCTCCGGTCCCAGGCCTTAAATTACCTTCTCTTCTCTGTCAGCCTGAGCGCCGCCCTTTCACTAGGGACCTACCTCTCACCAGCCACGAGCCCCTGCCAGTCTGTGACCTCAGGCCCAGGAGGTTGAGCCCAGGTAGCATTTAGCATAGGCCTTGTGTGCGGTCCCCAACCCTATTTCTCCCTGTAAGGTTTTTATTTAATATCACTCATCTTTATTTACTTTCAAAATAATACTTGCCAGGGCTGGGTGAGGTGGCTGACACTTGTAATGCCAATAATTTGGGAGGTCAAGGCAGGAGGATGGCTTGAGTCCAGGGGTTTGAGATAGCCTGGGCAACATAGTGAGACTCCATCTCTATAAAACATTTTAACAATGAGCCGGCTGTGGTGGCACATGCCTGTAATCCCAGCTACTCAGGAGGCTGAGGCGGGAGGATCACTTGAGCCCGGGAGGTCAAGGCTGCTGTTAACCATGATCATGCCACTGCACTCCAGCCTGGGTAACAGAGTGAGACCCTATCTCAAAATAATAATAATAATAGTTATTATTATTACTATTATTATTTTTTGAGAGAAAGTCTCACTCTGTCGCCCAGGCTGGAGTGCAGTGGCGCGATCTCGGCTCACTGCAACCTCCACCTCCCGGGTTCAAGCGATTCTCCCATCTCAACCTCCTGAGTAGCTGGGATTACAGGCGCCCACCACCATGCCCGGCGAATTTTTGTATTTTTAGTAGAGACAGGGTTTCGCCATGTAGGCCAGGCTGGTCTCGAACTCCTGAACTCAAGTGATCCGCCCGCCTCAGCCTCCCAACGTGCTGCGATTACAGGTATGAAATAATTATTATTGAATTAAATAAGACTTGCCAGTTGTGGAAAACATGAAAAGTATAGAAGTAAAAAGGAAGAAAAATCACTACAGTCCCATTACCCTTGACAACCATTGACAGAGCCTTGCTGTATCTTCTTTCAATACTTCCCTTTTTATATGGAGCTATATAAAATTTAAATAAAAATTTTATTTAAAGAAATAAAATTGGGATCATGCTATATATGGAGTTCTGTATCCCGCATTTTCTACTTAAGACCATTCCATTCATTCAGCAGCTCTCAGGGGGTCTCTATCTTTGAGGCTGTGTACTAAGGAAGCAGCAGGCAGCTCAGCAGGCAGAGGGGCCCCACCACCCAGCGGGGTGCAGGCGAATAGGTAAACAGGCACTCGTCAAACACCACGCCCAGATACAATCGCAGCTCCTAACGCGTACGGCGAAAGATCCAGGTAGCTATGAGAACTGCGGGGTTTCCCTCATCAGTGGGGGTGTGAAGCCTTGGACAGCCTCGGAGAGTCATCAGTGGGGGTGTGAAGTCTTGGAGAGTCTGAAGGCTGAGGACTCAAGTGGGGGCCTGGTGGGGGGGCGGGTTCCAGCCAGAAGCAGTAGTCTAGGCTGAGGGCCTGGGGCCAGAGGCAATGCACAGTTACTTAACAGAAGAGGGATGCGGTAACAGGCACGATGTTTAGAGACTGCAGAGTATCCCACTGCATGGACAGACTGTAATTTATTTATCCGTGAAAGAGTTAGATCGTTTCTCATTTTTCACTGTTACAAATGATCATGGCAGAAATTGGTAACAGTTGCCTCCTGGGAGGGCTGCAGGGGAGCTCAGGGTCTGGGGTGAGGGAAACATCACTGCATACCTGTCGGGAACTTTTTTTTTTTTTTTTTTTTTTAAGATGGAGTCTCACTCTGTCGCCCAGGCTAGAGCGCAATGGTGCGATCTCAGCTCACTACAACCTCTGCCTCCCGGTTCAAGTGATTCTCCTTCGTCAGCACTCCCCGAGTAGCTGGGATTACAGGCGTCCACCACCACGCCCGGCTTTTGTATTTTGAGTACAGACGGGTTTTCACCATGTTGGCCAGGCTGGTCTCGAACTCCTGACCTCAGGTGATCCACCCGCCTTGGCCTCCCAAAGTGCTGGGATTACAGGCGTGAGCCACCGCGCCCAGCCAGGAACTTTTGATGTATTACCACATGACTGTATCTATTGATTCTTTTCAAGAGTCAGTTAAATTAAAACTAAATAACGTTGGAATGAACATCTTTGTGCTCACGGCTTGGTTCAAATACCTGATCCTTTCCTTAGATCAGATTGGTTGAGTCCAAGTGCTCCTGACATTTGCTGATGAGTCACCTTTCAGAACATTCAGCTCCTAAAACCTCAAGTTCTACACTCGGAAAATCACCAGCTGTGGGAGCTCTCAGAGATTCAACCCTTTCCTCTGTTTGCCTTCCCAACTGGCCCGTGAGCTATGTAAAACAGACCAGGCCCGTGAGCCTCATATGAAGAGGAGACCGTGGGGAAGGGAAGGGGGTTAACATGTGCTGGACCCCTTCTGTGTGCCAGGCCTACCCACGCTGGGGGTGTCCACATACACGCTTTGAACAGTCTCCTCTCAATTATTATAAGGGTATTAATAGCCTCATTTTACACTTGAGAAAAATGAAGCTCAACAAAGTGAGGTGGCAGGGCCGGGTGCAGTGGCTCACACCTGTAATCCCAGCACTTTGGGAGGCTGAGGCGGGTGGATCACCTGAGGTCAGGAGATTGACACCAGCGTGGCCAACATGGTGAAACCCCGCCTCTACTAAAAATACAGAAATTAGCCGGGCATGTTGGTGGCGGGCACCTGTAATCCCAGCTACTCGGGAGGCTGAGGCAGGAGAATCGCTTGAACCCAGGAGGTGGAGGTTGCACTAAGCCTAGATTGCACCACTGCACTCCAGCCTGGGCAATAGAGTGAGACTCTGTCTCAAACAACAACAACAAAACAAACAAACAAACGAACAAACAAACAAAGTGAGATGGTGGGTTGCAGCACTCACACCTGTAATCCCAACACTTTGGGAGGCCGAGGCAGGAGGATCACTTGAGCCCAGGAGTTCAGGACCAGCCTGGGTAATGCAGTGAGACCCATCTCTACAAAAACTAAAAAAATAAAAAATAAAAAAAAATTAGCCCGGCATGTCAGGGCACACCTGTAGTCCCCGCTACTTGAGAGGCTGAGGAGGATAGCTTGAGCCCAGGAGTTCAAAGGTTGCTATGGGTTGTGATTGCACCACTGCACTCCAGCCTGGGAGACAAAGTGAGATTGTGTCTCAAAAACAAAAACAAAAATAAAACCAAAGCGAAGTGATTTGTCCAAAATGGTGGAGTCAAGATTCAAACAAGATTGCCGTGGCATCCGACCGTGGGAGGAGACATCTCTCTCCTTAGAGGCCGCTGCTGCACAGAGACCCCTCTCCCAGCATCGGCCCCCGCCAGTGCCCCACCAGGCACCCCGTCCCCACCTCCCATGAGCCGTGTCTTTGCTCCCTTGCCAATAACTTCATTCCTCCCCTGTTTTCATTATTAATTCCCTCTTCTTGTGCTTCACACTCATGAGGCCGGGGAAATGGACAAGGCGGTTGGGGAAGGAAGTGGAAATTCTGTGTAATACCATCATCGGTATCACAAAACTTGTCTTAAGTGCCAGCCCCAGGGATTTGCTGGAGTTGGCACGACAGAGGTGGGGCTGAAGGTCAGATTAAATTGGACTAGTAACCCCAGGGGATACTTGAAAGAGGTTGCTAAAGAAACAGTTCCGGCAGGATCGTGCAGCAGCTGAGGCAGGCAGCTGGCAGCAGCGTGCGGGCCGGCCGGCCAGATCAAGCCTGCTTAGCAGGGCTTGCTGGTGACAGGCCTGGGTTCACACGTCCTCCTCCGGAAGCCTGAAATCTTGCCTTTTCCCCCCAATAATGAGTTGGTATAAAAATGGATCTTGAATAAAATTGTCTGCAGTTTTCAAATTTCAAACTGCATTAGTCAAAATATATCAAATTTCCATGTACTGACTTACCACCTGCTCAAAATCTGATCCTTTTTCAGCTGGAATATATTGAAATATGAATCACCTCCTGAGAGGCAAAAGGGAAAAGACGCGGAGGGTGAGGCCCTCTCAAAACACGCCGGTGGGCGAGCGGGAATCCTGGGCTCCGCTGGGCTCCCCCGGCCTCCACCTGACAATGGCTCCTTTTATTTCCGGGGTGGCCCAGGCCTCTTGGCCACTTCCCTTGATCCTAGGTTTCTGGCTGAGACCCTTATACTCTGGGCAGTCTATGGCACACAGTGCAGAAACTAATCATTTCATGCCTCTGGCCTTTAATAAGCACCTACTATGTGCTGGGTGCTCAGACTCACCAGAGAGGCAGTCCTATCATGGTATTGCTGAATCTAATAGTGTCTTCTTCATCCTAATCTGCTCACCTTGGCAGCACTGGACACAGTTGGCCCTCCCCTCTGGAAACTCTTTCTTCTCTTCTCTTCAGAGACCTGGCTCTGTCGTCTTGTCTGCCTTGCTGCCTGCTTCTTCTTGGTCTGCTCTTCCCGGCCTGATGACCACATACACCTAAATCCCCAGAGCTCAGCCCTTGAAACTTCTCTCTTCTGTAGTCACACCTGTCCCCAGGTGAGCTTGTCCAGGCCCAAGTCTTTGTTTTGTTTTGTTTTGTTTTGAGGCAGAGTCTCACTGTGTCACCCAGGCTGGAGTGTAGTAGCACGATCTCGGCTCACTGCAACCTCCACCTCCCATGTTCAAACGATTCTCACACCTCAGCCTCCTGAGTAGCTGGGATTACAGGCACCCGCCACCACGCCCAGCTAATTTTTGTATTTTTAGTAGAGACGGGGTTTCGCCATGTGGGCCCAGCTGGTTTCGAACTCCTGACCTCGTGATCCACCCACCTCGGCCTCCCAAAGTGCTGGGATTACAGGCGTGAGCCACCGCGCCCAGCCAGGCTCAGGTTTTAAATACCATCTTCATAGGGGTGGGGATTAGACATGTGTTCTGGCTCTAAACTGCAGACCAGTCCACCCGCCTGCCCGCCTGGCACTGCCACGTTAGTATCTAATAAGCAGCTCAAACTCCGATTGTCCTGTGTTCACCGTGTAGGCTTCCCTGTCTCAGCAGGTGACACCTGTAGCATTTCGGCTGCTCAAGCTGGAAATGCAGGTGTTATTCTCCATTCTTCCCTTTCCTTCATCATCTCTTCCTTTAATCCACTAAGTCCCACTGGCCCCACCGTCAAAATACATCCCAAATTCACATCACCCCGCCCCCACCACCCCCACCCTACCCTGGGCCACTCTCTTCTGTTCCCTGGACCTCTGCCGTGGCCACCCTCACTGGTCTCCCTGTTTATATTGCAGCCCCATCACCACCCACAGCCTAAGCACAGCCAGAAGGATCTTCAAAAACAGTAAGTGCTATCATGTTACTTTCCTGCTCGAAATCTTCAGTGGCTTTCCATTGCACCAGAATAAAATGCAGGCTGCTCACCAGCCCACGTCGCCCTCGTGAGCGGCCCCACCTCCCTCTCCAGCCCCGTCCTGCGCCACTCTTCACAGCGCTAGCTGCACTGGCCTCTGTTCCTAGACCACAGCGAGCTCATTCTTGCCTTGGAGGCTTTGTTTTCTTGTAAAATATACACATTTTTATTACAAATAAATAACTAAAAGTTAACATTTTAAAGCGTACAATTCACTGGCACGCAGCATATTCGCAACTATCATCACTATCTGGCTCAGAACGTTTTCCTCACCCCAAAAGGAAACTCCATCCCCCTTAGCAGTCACTCCCCATTCTCCCTCCCCCAGCCCCTGGCAAACACTAATCTGCTGCTTTCTGTCTCTGTGGATTGGCCTCTTCTGGATATTTCATACAAATGGATCATAGCACGTTGGCCTCGGAGTTTTCACACTGACGGTTCCCACGGGGCCCTCTCTGCCCCAGGCCTTTGGGGGACCATCTCCTTCTTAACATTTGTCTTGGCTCAAAAGTCACCTCCCTGTCTCCAGCCGATGCCCACGGCCCCTCTGCTCCTGGCCACTCTCAATGTCATAAGGACCCAGCCCTATTTATTTCCCTTTCAGCACCTAACACTCTCTGAGAGCACCTTGCTTAATTATTTGTTTACACATTTATTGTCTTTCCCCTTGTCGCTCCCTGTGATATCCCCATCCCCGGGACAGGGCCAGGCACCCAGGTAGTGCTCAGCAATTATTTGTGGATTGAATGAGCCGGTTCACTATCAAGCACTCGGATGAAGCCATCTACAAAGATAAAGAAACAGCCAAGGAAGGAAGAAAGCGGTGCTGCTGGGGAGGGGAGGAGTAACCAGGAAAAGTCACGAAGGGAAGGGGGGCCTGGAAGGATGACTAGAAGCTCAGCTGGCCTTCGGGGTGGAAGGGGCATTGGAGGACGACGGGGCAGGGCATTCCAGGCAGAAGGAACCGCATGGGCGGAGGCCTGGAGGCGCGAGAGAGGGAGACAGCAGTCACGGTAGGAGTCACGTGACGGCCTCTCTAGTTTGCAATTTGTCCCCTAACTGATTGGCATTCACTGGCCTCCCACAGAGAGAACATTTAACACAGGTCTGGGAGTTGGGTTTGATACAACACGTAAGGGACTGAGAGGAAAGAAAGGGTGGAGTCTCTTTTGTTCGTTTCTTCTTCCCTCCTCCCACTCTTGTCCTAGTGTGCTCTGGACACCCCACAGACACAAAGAAAAGTAGGCCGGGGCCAGGCGCGGTGGCTCATGCCTGTAATCCCAGCACTTTGGGAGGCCGATGCGGGCAGATCACTTGAGGTCAGGAGTTCAAGACCAGCCTGGCCAACATGGTGAAACCCTGTCTCCACTAAAAATACAAAAAAAAAAAAAAAAAAAAAAAAATTAGCAGGGCGTGGTGGCATGTGCCTGTAATCCCAGCTACTTGGGAGGCTGTGGCAGGAGAATCGCTCGAACCCGGGAGGTGGAGGTTGCAGTGAGCCAAGATCACACCATTGGACTCCAGCCTGGGCTACAGAGCGAGACTCTGCCTCAAAAAAAAAAAAGAAAAGAAAAGAAAGAAAAGAAAGAAAGAAAAGAAAAGCAGGCCGGGCGTGGTGGCTCATGCTTATAATCCCAGTGCTTTGGGAGGCTGAGGTAAGAGGATCACTTGAGTCCAGGGGTTTCAGAACAGCCTAGGCAACACAGCAAGACCCTATCTCTTAAAAAAAAAAAAAAAATTAGCCAGGCGTGGCACGTGCATGCAGTCCCAGCTACTCAGGAGGCAGAGGTGGGAGGATTGCTTGAGCCTGGGAGGTGAAGACTGCCATGAGCCATGGTGCGTTACTGCACTTTATCCTAGATGACAAATCAAGACCCTCTCTGGAAAAAAAAAAAAGAAAGTAAGAAAAAAGAAAAGAAGTAAGAAAGAAAAAGAAAAAACAGACTAGTTACCAGTTTTCTTTTTATTTACTTATTTTTTGAGATGGGGTCTCACTCTGTCGCCCAGGCTGGAATGCAGTGGTGCAATCTCAGCTCCCTGCAACCTCCGTCTCCCGGGTTCAAGTGATTCTCCCTGCCTCAGCCTCCCGAGTAGCTGGGACTACAGGTGCTCGCCATCACGCCTGGTGTAGTTTCCAGTTTTCTGATTTAAAATCATCTTGTAACCACCTTTTAAGAGTCATGGGAAGGCCAGGGGTGGTGGCTCACACCTGTAATCCCAGCACTTTGGGAGGCCGAGGCAGGTGGATCATTTGAGGTCAGGAGTTCGAGATCAGCCCGGCCAACATGGTGAAACCTCGTCTCTACTAAAAATACAAAAACTAGCCGGGCAGGATGGTGTGCCTGTAACCCCAGCCACTCGGGAGGCTGAGGTAAGAGAATAGCTTGAACCAGGAGGCAGAGGTTGCAGTGAGCCGAGATCGCACCACTGCACTCCAGCCTGGGCGGCAGAGGGAGACTCGATCTCAGAAAAAAAAAAAAAAAAAAGAGATGTGGGAAGGTAGGGAGGGCAATGAAGTATATTACAGATCATTGCCAACTCTATTTTATTTTTTTTTTAAGAGACAGGGTCTCACTCAGTTGCCCTGGCTGGAGTGCAGAGGTATAATCATAGCTCACTGCAACCTCGAACTCCTGGGCTCAAACGATCCTCCTGCCTCTGCCTCCTGAGTAGTTGGAATTACAGACATGAGCCACAGCACCTGGCTTGTCAACTGTGTTTTAATGGTCAGAGGAGGGTCCCCGCTCTTTGGGTTCCTAGGAGGAAGGCAGAGCTGGGATGGACCTGGGATGGCTTCCCATTGGCCCTCCCCAGCCTCATCTTTCTGGGCTGAGCCACCAGCCCCTCTGGGCGTAGAGCTGTCTGTGAGCCCCGTGTCCTTCATTTCTCTTGATTGAATCAGGCCTGGCTGACCCAGCCCCGTGGCTCTGGGAGTCCAGCTGAGCTCCCAGGAGGAGAGGCCCTTGCCCAAAGCCAGGAGGCTCACAAGGGCAAATTCAATTGTGGGCGAGGTAGGAGCCATTAACCTGTCTGTGGACTGCAGCTCCCCCACCTTCTCTCCCTCTGCCAGCCAGGCCTGTCCAGGCTGCCTCTGCTGGATCCCTACTGCCCGCCACCTTCAGGGGCTCCCTGCTGCCTCTGGGCTGTGTCCACCCGCCTTTGCCACTCGGCACCCCATAGCTGTCATCACCTGGGCCTCTAGGATCAGAGCGGATTTTGAGGTGAGAAGGAGAACAAATCTATGGGAATTTGCACTTCACCATGGAGGCAAACCAGGCTCTTGGCCCTTCCCAACTCTCAAGCTTCCGGGTGCAATCTGCCCTTCGGAGTTTTTTCTTTTTCTTTTTCTTTTTTTGAGACAGTTTCGCTCTTGTTGCCCGGGCTGGAGTGCAGTGGTGCGATCTCGGCTGAGCGCAACCTCCACTTCACGGGTTCACGCCATTCTCCTGCCTCAGGCTCCCGAGTAGCTGGGATCACAGGCGCCACCACGCCCGGCTCATTTTGCATTTTTAGTAGAGACAGGATTTCACCATGTTGGTCAGGCTGGTCTCAGACTCCCGACCTCAGGTGATCCACCTGCCTCGGCCTCCCAAAGTGCTGGATTACAGGCGTGAGCCACCGCGCCGGGCCTGCCCTTGGGAGTTCTAATGGGGAGGAGGTCCTGGAGGCAGGTGGGAGTCACTTGAGAAAAGCGTTCTGGGGTCTCAAGCCTCCGGAACAGTCTGGGGCTGCGCTGTCCAGCATAGTAGCTGCTACGCACACGTGGCTTCCAAAAACTTGAAATGTGCTCACTTCAAAGACTTAGTAAGAAAAAGAATAAAAATACCTCATGAATAATTTTATATTGATTGCATGTTGATATTGCAATATCATATTTTGAATATATTTGGTTAAATATAAAAATATTTTAGGCCCAGTGTGGCTCCTCACGCCTGGAATCCCAGCTCTTTGAGAGGCTGAAGTGGGAGGGTTGCTTAAGTCCAGGAGTTCGAGACCAGCCTGGGCAACATGGCAAGACCCCCATCTCTACAAAAAATTTAAAAATTAGCCACACAGGTCGGGTGTGGTGGCTCACGCCTGTTATCCCAGCACTTTGGGAGGCCAAGGCAGGTGGATCATGAGGTCAGGAGATTGAGACCATCCTGGCTAACATGGTGAAACCCCGTCTCTACTAAAAATACAAAACATTAGCCGGGCGTGGTGGCGGGCGCCTGTAGTCCCAGCTACTCGGGAGGCTGAGGCAGGAGAATGGCGTGAACCTGGGAGGCGGAGCTTGCAGTGAGCCGAGATCACACCAGTGCACTCCAGCCTGGGCGACAGAGCAAGAACCTGTCTCTAAAAAAAAATTTTTTTAATTAATTTCACCGTTACAGTTTGCATTTCTTTTCTTTTCTTTTTTTTTTTTTTTTTTGAGATGGAGTCTCGCTGTGTCACCAAGGCTGGAGTGCAGTGGCGCAATCTTGGCTCACTGCAACCTCCGCCTCTCGTGTTCAAGAGATTCTCTTGCCTCAGCCCTCTGAGTAACTGGGACTACAGGCGTGCGCCACCACGCCTGGCTAATTTTTGTAATTTTAGTAGAGACAGGGTTTCACCATATTGGTCAGGCTGGTCTTGAACTCCTGACATCGTGATCCGCCCGCCTCAGCCTCCCAAAGTGGTGGGATTACAGGCGTGAGCCACCGCGCCTGGCTTACAGTTTGCTTTTCTTTTCTTTCTTTCTTTTTTTTTTTTGAGACGTTGTTTCACTCTTGTTGCCCAAGCTGGAGTGCAATGGCGCGATCTCACCTCACTGCAACCTCTGCCTCCCGGGTTCAAGTGATTCTCTTGCCTCAGCCTCCCAAGTAGCTGGGATTACAGGCGCGCGCCCCCCATGCCCAGCTCGTTTTTCGTATTTTTAGTAGAGATGGGGTTTCACCATGTTGGTCAGGCTGGTCTTGAACTCCTGACCTCAGGTGATCCGCCCACCTCGGCCTCCCAAAGTGCTGGAATTACAGGCATGAGCCACTGCGCCCAGTCCAGTTTGCTTTTCTAATATGGCTACTAGAAAATCTAATGTACCTGTGGCTGCACAGAGTTGGTCTTGAGTGGGGAACACAGGCTCTGGGTGGGTCCATCTCCCTGGCCCCATGGACTTACTGTCCTTTGGGGTGGGAAGCAGCAGGAAGCAGGCCAGAGTGGGCCCCCCTCTGAAACACCCAGTTACCGTGGAGGAGCAGGGCAGGCCAGGAGCCCCGAATGGGTCTGGGCGACCCTCAGGGGTGCAAAGGAGAGTTGGCTCAAGGTAGAGGTGGTCTGGGGCCTCTCCCAGTTCACTTTCCAGGTAAAGACCCCTGGCCCCGCCAGGCCCCCACTGCCCTCAGCGCTGACCGACACCTGTCCAGCCCATTTTTGCGGGAAGTCTAGCTCCTCAGCCCCAGGACTCTCCGCCCTCGTCTGGGCTCTGTATAGCAAAAGGCCATGTGCCTGTGGTGAGGACTATGGCTTCTGCCTTCCCCCCACCCCTGAGAGGGATGGCTCGCTCTCTTTCCCTGCTTCAAAGCCCAGAACACCCTCTCAGGCTCCCCACTAAAGCTCCTGCTTCCAGCTCAAGAACAGGGCAGGCTCGCTGACACAGCCAAGACAAGCACATCACGAGCGGCTCTGGAGCTAAGGAAGGAGCCCAGCCTCCTGCTCAGGTCAACAGCCCCCCGCCCACCTCCCTGCCCCTCTGTGATGGCTCATTATTCCGGTATTCCCAGGAGACAGATGGAATTTTCCCCACCAGCGCCTAATTACATTCCAACTCGACGTGGTACAGTGACATGTGTCCAAGCCGCGTACGATTCCCAGTGTGACTGAGAGCTGAACACTCTGCAAAAGGGTCCAAATGGGGATGTTTCAGTCTTGAGGTGTGTGTTGAGCTGTTACCTGGGGAGGCCCTGGGGCGAGGCCCCCTCTCCTGTCAGGAGCAAGCCCCATCTGGAACTAATAGAACTCAGCCTAAGGCTACAGCTGGGCAGGCAGAAGATGCTTCAGATGGAAACCGATGGAGGGAGGGGGTGTAGGAAAAGCATTCCCTGAGGGCCTGTCCCAAGGGAGGGAGAGGATTCTGACCCGGAATCCAAGGAGCAGCCTAACTTCCCTGGACAGGAGTGCTTCCCAGCGCTCAGTGGAGCGATCTCAGCGTGCTCCTAGCCTAGGAGAGTCCCTGGGCTGGGGAAGGGCAGTCTCTGTCTTGGGGTTCCCTGTCTGTGTGGCCCGAAGTTCCAGGGACTGCCCCCACCCACTAACATAGCCAAGGGTCTGATGTTGGGTGTGGAGGCTCCTAGAGGACACAGAGATCCTCTGCCCTCTGCTTCTCTCCAGAACCGGTTCTGTCATCCTGTGATGGGAATGGAGCCACTACTGGTTCCTGGTTTAACATTTTACCTAGTTCCGGCATTGCCACCACCAAAGCTCTTCTCCACTGAGGGCTTCCCAGCTTCACCCCCTCCCTCACTGCCTTCAGGGGCCCTTCCAAACCTCGCCCAGTCTCTCCCTACCTCACCTCCAGGCCTGGCCCCTGGCCTTCCCAGCATCCTCACACATCCCTCCCAGAATTATGGGCCCTCTGCCTCTGGTCCCATTCTCTCACTGCTCCTGACCCCGAGGTCTCAATTCAAATGATTTCAGAGGCCACGCAGGAAACAGAAGAGGCTAAAGTGGGCAGGGAGGTGGTACAGGTGGCAACCCAGGAGCCAGGCCCCTCTGCAGGCCCCAGGCTCCCGCCGCTCCTCCCCAGAAGGAAGAGGGGGCCCTGGGTTATCAATTCTTTGGATTTTGCCAGAGGCTGGGAATCAGGATTTTTGCATGCAATTGGTTGGCAGCAAATTCGACAAAACAAACAAAACAAACAAAACACTGTGTGGGCCAACACAGCTCCACCTGCAGCATGGATTCCGCCGGAGGCCAAGGCTTCTGACAGCTGCCTTCCTGGTCTAGATGGCCCCCTCAGCATCCTCAGCTCCCCGCCCCCGCTACCCACCACGCCTCGCCGTCTGTCTGTAGACTCAGATCAAGCCTCTCCCCTTGAACCACAAAACCCGCCCAACCCAAATCTCCCTGCAGCCACTGCCTCACTCTCCTGCCCTTCACAGGCAAACTTCTCCAAAGGCCGCCTCCTCCCTGGCCTCTCCCTCTTCGAGCCCTACACCTGGAATTCTACCCCTCCTCCCAGACAGCCATGCAGACTCCTGCTGTTGCCCAAGCCCAACACTTTCCAGTCTCTCTCTTTCTTTTTTTTTTTAAAACAGAGTCTCACTGTCACCCAGGCTGGAGTGCAATGGCGCCATCTCAGCTCACTGCAACCTCCTCCTCCCAGGTTTAAGCGATTCTCCTGCCTCAGCTTCCCAAGTAGCCGGGAGTACAGGCACCTGCCACCACGCATGGATAATTTTTGTAATTTTTAGTAGAGACGGGGTTTCACCATGTTGGCCAGGCTGGTCTCGAACTCCTGACCTCAGGTGATCCACTCGCCTCAGCCTCCCAAAGTGCTGGGATTACAGGCGTGAGCCATCGGGCCCGGCCTCCAGTCTCTGTCTTGCCTCAACTGCCCTGAGGTCAAAGTCCCCTTGAAATCTCCCCCTCTCGGTTTCCTTGACACAACGCCCACCCGGGACCACTCCAACTTTCCTGGACGTTCCTTCTCAGCCCCTGGCATGGGCACCTCTTCTCATTTTACCCACAGCCCGTGGGAGCCACCGTGACCTGTGCATATACTGGTGGCTCCAGATTCCCCTGATCTCAGCACTCTGCCGACTCCAATTCCGAACTGCTTTCCGCACAGGTCCTCTGGAATCTCCTGGAGGCTGCCCCCTCAGCATTCCCCAAATGAAAAGCACCCCGTCCAAACCCTTTCCCTCTTCCTGGGCCACCCTCTCAGTGACTACCACCGCCTCCATCTGCCAGAAACCCAGGACGCTGCCTTCTCCTCTCCCCTTGAGTCGGGTTCACCAAGTCCCATAGCTCGGGCCGGCCGTCCTCTCTCCTGACAGATCAGCTGCCTCCTCACTCATCTCCTGCCTTTGCCTGGCCCCACTCCCCCTTCTCTATCGGAGTTTTTCTAAAACTCAGCTCCGATGGTGTCACTCCCAATTTCTGTGACCCTTCTTGCAGGAGGATTTCTGACTCTGCCCTGGGCTCGAAGCCAACACTCATCTGCAGTCAGGAGCTCAGCGCACTCAGGAGCTAATGTTCCCTGCATGTGCCATGTTCCCTCCCATCCCCGGGCCTGGGGTCACACCATCCCCTCTCCCTGGGATGCCCCTCCTTCCTGCACATCCCCGGGCCTGAGGTCACCCGTCCCCTCTCCCTGGGATGCCCCTCCTTCCCGCACCTGCCTGGCTCATTGCACTTGTTCTTTGAACTTGGCACAGGCTAAGGGGATTGTCCCCCTTTGGGGCTTACCCAGAACACTGTTCATTCGACCTGGCCTCATAATTGTCAGTTTACATGTAGGTATCTATCGCCGAGTGACAGACTAGAGGCACAAATGGACAGTGCCAGGCCACATATAAAAATAGAACTCTGACCCATGGTCTGCAGCAACCAGCCCAGGAAACCAACCCATGATCTATAGCAACCAGCCCAGGAAGCCAATCTGCTGTCTACAAGTCAGACTCGTGGGGGAGCTGGACCACTGTCCCTTTTTTTTTTTTTTTTTTGAGATGGAGTCTCACTCTGTCACCCAGGCTGGAGTGCAGTGGCGCAATCTCAGTTCACTGCAACCTCTGCCTCCGAGGTTAAAACGATTCTCCTGCCTCAGCCTCCTGAGTAGCTGGGATTACAGGCACCCACCACCACATCCAGCTAATTTTTTTATTTTTAGTAGAGACAGGATTTCACCATGTTGGCCAGGCTAGTCTTGAACTCCTGACCTTGTGATCCACCCGCCTCGGCCTCCCAAAGTGCTGGGATTACAGGCATGAGCCACCATGCCCGGCCCGGACCACTGTCTCTAGCAAACAATCCGAGAAGCCAAACAAGGACCTCTGCAACAGTCTGCCCAGAACAGCTAGGACTTGATTAGTTTCCCTCATTTTTGTCCCCACTTCTAACTTCAGACCAACCAGAGAGAAAGCCAAATATGCTCCCCTAGCCGATCACAGTGGATGAGCTGCTTCCCCTTAGCCAGCCGCCAGCTTCCCTAAGCGAACAGCCTCCAGTCAGGGCAGGCTTGAAGCTTTCCCATTTTCCTCTATAAAACTTGCCCACTCCTCTGCCTGCCTGGACTATCTGCCAGAATTTGAGTGAGGTGGCTGGCTCCCTTGCTATAAAAGCTCTGAATAAGTAGCCTTTACCGGTTCTCATTTGGTTGGTCATTTATTTCCACATGTGTAACAAACCACTCTGAACACGAGGGCTTAAAACAAAACCATTTCTTACTACAATAGTCCTGTCCATGAAAAAAAGTTAATGATCTCATGACTCTGTGGGTCAAACAGGCTCAGCAGGATGGTTCTTCTGTTGTTCTCACTCCAGGTGTCTCATGTGGTTGCAGTCAGATGGTGGCAGGGGCTGGAGTCATTTGGGAACTGAGTTATGATGTGTAGACACCTGAGCCTCTCTCTCTCTCCATGTGGCCTCAGGATTTCTGCTCTCTCTCTCTTTTTTTTTTTTTTTTTTTTGAGATAGAGTTTCACTCTGTCGTCTAGGCTGGAGTGCAATGGCGCAATCTCAATTCACTGCAACCTCCGCCTCCCAGGTTCAAGCGATTCTCCTGCCTCAGCCTCCCAAGTAGCTGGGATTACAGGCACATGCCACCACGCCTGGCCAATTTTCTGTATTTAGTAGAGATGGGGTTTGACCGTGTTGGTCATGCTGGTCTCGAACTACTGACCTCAGGTGATCCACCTGCGTCAGCCTCCCAAAGTGCTGGTATTACAGGCGTGAGCCACTGTGCCTGGCGAGGATTTCTCCTCTTAATGTGGTCTCTGTGCACGATCTCTCCAGCAAGGTAGCTGGATTTTTTACCTGGTGGCTCTGAGCTCCTAAAACCACAGCGTGAAACTGCCAGCCTTCTTAAGGCTTAGGACCTGAACTGGCACAGCCTTACTTTCACTGCATTCTACCCGTTAGATCCAGCCGCAGACCCAGCCCAGGTTCCACGTGGGAAGGGGCCCTCGTGGGACAGGCGTGGCAGGAGGGATGGGGGCCATCTTTGGAGACTGGCCACGACCCAGCTTCCTTCCCCGCTGACACTGTGTTCTTGGTCTCTGTGCCCTCGGCATCTAGCAGGGTGCCTGTCCGAGTCAGTGCTCAGCAACACCTGATAATCAAGGGACTGGAGGGAAGGACGGTGGGTCCGACAGATGGACAGAAGGGCTCCACACTGGCTCCCCTGCCCCCAGGCTCCTACCACCCTGTTTAGTTCACATAAACACGGCTCTCTGCTGCCTAACACTCCTCTATTTTTAAACCTCTCAAGCAGTGAGTGGTGCTTAACATTTTTTGAATCAGGGACCCCTTAAGGAATCTCATGAAAGCTGTAGGAGACCCTCTCCCTAGAGAAGCGAGCCTACACATAATCACTCACACTTCTGCAGTATATTAATGACGGCTGCCCTTGACTAAGATCTTACCACGTGCCAGTGACTGTGAAGGCACATTGTGTACATTACCCGACCTCTTACCCCAAACATCCTGCAAGGTAGATGCTACTCAGTATGGTTTGGCTCTGTGTCCCCACCCAGATCTCATCCCTTATTGTAATCTCCATGTGTCGAAGGGGGAGGTGATTGGATGATGGAGGCAGTTTCTCCCTTGCTGTTCTCGTGATAGTGAGGGAGTTCTCATGAGATCTGATGGTTTATACGTGTTTGACAGTTCCTCCTTCACATGCTCTCTCTCCTGTCGCCTTGCGAAGAAGGATGTGTTTGCTTCCCCTTCCGCCATGATTGTAAGTTTCCTGAGGCCTCCCCAGTCACGCAGAACTGTAGGTCAATTAAACCTCTTTCGTTTATAAATCACCCAGTCTCGGGTGTTTCTTTACAGCAGTGTGAAAACGGAGTAATACGCTACTATTTGTTCAGTTTTATAGATGAGGAAGCTGAGCCTCAAAGAGGTGAAGGAATAACTAGAAAGAGGTAGAACTGAGGCTCTGAGCAGGAAGGTCTAACTGCAAAGCCACGTACTTGGCTGGGCATGGTGGCTCACACCTGTAATCCCAGCACGTCGGGAGGCTGAGGTGGGAGGGTTGTGTGAGCTCAGGCCTTGGAGACCAGCCTGGACAACAGAAGGAGACCCTGTCTCTACAAAAAAAAAATTTAGGCCAGGCACGGTGGCTCAAGCCTGTAATCCCAGCACTTTGGGGGGCAGAGGCGGGTGGATCACGAGGTCAGGAGATCGAGACCATCCTAGCTAACATGGTGAAACCCCGTCTCTACTAAAAATACAAAACATTAGCCAGGTGTGGTGGCGGGCGCCTGTAGTCCCAGCTACTCGGGAGGCTGAGGCAGGAGAATGGCATGAACCTGGGAGGCGGAGCTTGCAGTGAGCCGAGATTGCGCCACTGCACTCCAGCCTGGGCGACAGAGCCAGACTCCCTCTCAAAAAAAAAAAAAAAAAATTTTAAACATTAGCCAGGTGTGGTGGCACACACCCGTAGTCCCAGCTACTTGGGAGGGTGAGGTGGGAAGATCACTTGGGCCCAGGAGGTCAAGGCTGCAGTGAACTGTGATCACACCACTGCACTCCAGCTGGGCAACAGAGCAAGATGCTGTCTCAAAAAATAAAGTAAAATCAAATTAGCTGGGCGTGGTGGCAGGCACCTGTAGTCCCAGCTACTTGGGAGGCTGAGGCAGGAGAGTGGCTTGAACCCAGGAGGTGAAGGCTGCAGTGAGCAGAGATCGCGCCACTGCACTCCAGCCTGGTGACAGAGCAATACTCGGTCTCAAAAATAAATAAATAAATAAATAAAAATTTAAAAAAAAAAGTAAAATCAAACCCCTCTCTAAGTGCTCCTAGAGTCCTACTTCCTGTTCTAAACACCCGGCCTGGCTTCAAGGCCCTGAATAAGCCAGAGTGATAACTCTGTGCCCCCTCTTAGATTTCTGGCCGCTCTCAGGCCACCCCTCCTGCTCCCTTCAGCCTGGCCACCCTTGACCCTTCCCGCTTTGCGGCCCCTCCCCTGCAACGCCCTCTCTACCCTCTGTCTCCACCCTAAGGTCAAGTCTCCCTTCTCCCTGGAGATTTCCTCGACCCTAGCCTGCCCCAGACTCGTGCCTGTTTTCCCGCCCACGTGGAGCTCTCATCATTTCCTGAGTAAAAGTGAACTTCCCGACTCAGCCGCAAGTGCCTCGAGAGCAGAGACCCATCGTCCACGTCCTTCTCACTTTCCAGACAGGCACTGGCATCAACGCTAACTGTTCACAGACTCCTCCACAGGCCCATTTTCTATGCGATTCTGTTGTTTCCTGAATCCTCAAACCCAAAGACTAAATGAACCTCCAGAGGGGACCAGGCCAGAGAGAGCCTGGCTGGAGCTGGACTTCTCTCCTCTCTGCAGATGAAGCAGCGGCCGAAATGAAATGCAGAGTCCGACCCCCACCTGCTGCTCCAGCGGGGATATCAGGTGTCATCTGTTTCTTTCTTTTGCATTCTCAGTGGATACCATGTTGCACGAAATCTGTGGCTGCTTTTGTTTCCCAATAACAACAAATAAAGACTAGGCTGGGCACGGCGGCTCATGCCTGTAATCCCAGCACTTTGGGACGCTGAGGCAGGCACATCACTCGAGATCAGGAGTTCAAGACCGGCCTGGCCAACATGGCAAAACCCCGTCTCTACTAAAAATACAAAAAAATTAGCCGGGCGTAGTGGCAAACGCTTATAATCCCAGCTTCTTGGGAGGCTGAGGTGGGAGAATCACTGGAAACCTGGGAGGTGAAGGTTGCAGTGAGCTGAGATTGCACCACTGCACTCCAGCCTGGGCAATAGTGTGAGACACTGTCTTAAAAAAAAAAAAAAAAAAAGTCTGGGTGGGGTGGTTCACACCTGTAATCCCAGCACTTTGGGAAGCTGAGGCGGGCAAATCACTTGAGGTTACAGTGAGCCGGGATCGCGCCATTGCACTCCAGCGTGGGCAACAGAACAAGACTCCATGTCAAAAAAAAAAAAAGCAATCCCAGCTTCTTGAGTTCCTCAGGATTCTGCTCCCCTGGTGTCCTCCACCCAAACTAGGTCATGAACAGAAAGCAGAGACTCCCATTGGTCCAAGGACAGACGTGACTGACCAGTCCTGTCCCCATCATTTCTGTCTCTGAGGCCTGGCCCCAGCCCCGCATGTTAGCTTGAGGGACAAGGTTACACTTTGCATATAATGATACATTTAGTTAAAAAGAGCTGGCCGGGTGTGGTGGCTCATACCTGTAATCCCAGCACTTTGGGAGGCCGAGACAGGCGGATCACCTGAGGTCAGGAGTTTGAAACCAGCCTGGCCAACATAGTGAAACCCCGTCTCTACTAAAAGTACAAAAATTAGCCGGGTGTGGTAGTGTACACCTGTAATCCCAGCTACCGGGGAGGCTGAGGCAGGAGAATAGCTTGAACCCATGAAGCGGAGATTGCAGTGAGCCGAGATTGCGCCACTGCACTCCAGTCTGGGCGACAGAGCGAGACTCCGTCTCAGAAAAAAAAAAAAAAAAAAAAGCTATCCTTAGGAGGGGGGAAAGGTTACATTTAGTTCTCACTACCACCACACATGGAAACTGTTTAATAATAAAACTTTCCAGCCTGGGCAACAGGGCGAAACTCCATCTTTACAAAAAAATACAACAAATTAGCCAGACACAGTGGCCTGTGTCTGTAGTCCCAGCTACTTGTCTGCAGTCCCAGATGAGATCTGGGTGGGGACACAGAACTACTGTAGACCCAGCTGCAGAGATGAGAGGATGGCTTGAGCCCAGGAGGTGGAGGTTGCAGTGAGCTGAGATTGTGTCATTGCACTCCAGCCTGGGCGACAGAGCAAGACTCTATCTCAAAAACAGAACAAACCCTCCATTTTACAGATGAGAGAGAACCAAAGCTTAGAGAGGTAAATGACTTGTCCAGGACCACTGTGTCAGCTGAGTGTCATTATGTAATTTGAGGAGAGTTTAATAAAGGGATGATTGACAAAGGTGTGGGTGGGGCCTAGGGCATCCACAGGGATAGTAAATAACAGGCAAGAACCCACTGGTGTTACTACCCAGGGTCTGAAAGGGTAAAGAAAGGGACTGGAAATGGGAACCCAAACAGGGAAGCCAGGTGGAGACGGGCTCTGACCAGAGCGAGAACTTTGGTCAGGGGCAGTGCCAGCCTGTGGGGGTGGGGAGGGGGGAGGGAATAAATACCCAGCGGTCACTCTCCTCCTCACTCCCCTCTCTCACTCTGCTCACCTGCCACTGTCTCCCATCGGCTGAACCTGAAGGCCGAGGGCAGGAGCCCACTGGTGTCATCAGCATAGGCCAGCTTCCCAGGCATGGTGCCTGATGGAAGGGCAAATGGGATGTCCCAGCACCTTTACTAGCTGGGAAGGAACAAGCCTGCACTGAAACTCAGCCTCACTCGCTGCTAAAGGCCAAGCATTTAGCCCTTCCACTACCATCTTTCCATGGGGTAGAATCCAGAGGCCCAGGGGCCCCCACTGCCCTGAGTGTTGGCACCTGCGGCACCCCCACCCATGGTGATCTAACTCCTACCTTGCTCTCAGCACACGGCTCTGATCCCAAAATGTACTTTCTAGTTTTGAGAGAAGACATGGTACAGGGAGCCGAGGAAATCCCCAGCAGAGAGGAGCTGTTCTACGATTAACCTAAAGCCTCTTATTAGCATCTTTACCTAAAATGTCCCAAACACCCACCCAGAAATGAGTCTCCTCCACCCTGACTGGCTTCTTCCTTGGGGTAGTAAAAGGGTTTCAATGAAGATGTGAGCTGAGACTCTGCAGTTCAGAGCATCAGCAGAAAACTTTGGGGGGACCAGACGTGGTGGCTCATGCCTGTAATCCCAGCATTTTGAGAGACCGAGGTGGGTGGATCACTTGAGGTCAGGAGTTGGAGACCAGCCTGGCCAACATGGTGAAAGTCTGTCTCTACTAAAAATACAAAAATTAGCCAGGTGTGGTGGCGCGGACCTGTAATCCCAGCTACTCGGGAGGCTGAGGCAGGAGAATCGCTTGAACCCGGGAGGTGGAGGTTGCAGTGAGCTGAGATTGCGCCACTGCACTCCAGCCTGGGCAACAGAGTGAGACTTTGACTCAAAAAAGAAAAAGAAAGGAAAAGAAAAATAGAAAGCTTTGGTGGAAGGGAGATTAAGCTGCACCGTGTGACAGGAGGCTCAAAGCAAGCTAAGGCCACATCATCTCACTGAACCCTGCACCATTTGCAGATTTACTGAATCGAGAGCCAATTCTGACACAGTTTCTTTCAAGACGATCTACCTCACGGGTGTGCGAAATTTATTTGAGATAAAGAAAACCACTACAGAGAGAGCACAATCTTCAAAGCCCACCCCTGAGACCAGAAATAAATAAAAACAGTAGCCCGTACAAATACTTGGGAGCCGTGAGAAACGCCATCCCTGCAGAGAGCAGGTCTTTAAGGCAATTTTCTTGAACTCTATTCAGCACTCACTCAAAATGCCTTTTAAAAATAACATATGATTTTCCTCCCTCTCCAAATGCACCCTTGTTCTTTCTCTTTCAGGTAAGAATGAGCCAGCTCTGGAGTGAGAAAGGCAGTCACTCATGTTGATAGGCAATGATGGACTATGTTCCCAGGAGGGCAAATCCCAAAGCCAAACAATAGCCCAGGGCTACAGGAGTCTTGCTGAGCCACGAGAAGGCCCAGGGGCAGGGGGCTGGCCCCAGGGGTCTTCACTCAACCCTAGAAGGTCAAGGTTCCAGAGACCAGGCTCCTCTCTGAAGAGGTGTCGGCCCATGGCCTGGTCTGGGTTCAAATAATGAACACTTTCCCCAGATGGAGATTTGATTCCCTGTGAGAAGTCTCAGTTTCACTGTAAGGTTTGCTAAGAATGAAAGGATCTTCTCTCTGCATGAGGTTGAGGGAGTTACAAAGAGGTTTAAGTAGTGTTGGTGCTGCAGAAGGAAACGGGACCCACATCCTGGCCCTGCCACTCAGCAGCAGTGTGACTTTGGGCAGGTGGATTGGCCTCCTTGAGCCTCAGTTTCTGAGCTACAGTGGGGTACTTCCCAGGGCTGTTGGGAGGCCGTGCAGTTTATCTGAGTACCTAGTTACAGTCCCTGAATCTAGGCAAAAACCACTGCAGTTGGGGCTCAAACCATTGCCCCACTCCTGGAAAGAGACCACCACCCAGCTCACGGGGCAGGGAGCCAGGGGTGACACTGTCCAGAGACAGCACAGGCCATGGTTAAAACTAAAGCCCGGTCTTTGGGTGGAACTCGGCTGGGACTCAACTTGTCATTTAGTGGCTATTTGCTCTTGGCCAAAGCCCTTAGCTTCTCTGAACCTCAGCGTCTGTATCTGTGAAATGGGAACATTGATAACATGAGATCAAATGAGCCAGTCCAGGTACAGTGCTTAGCTAGTGCCTGGCTCGGAGTAAGTGCTTATTTTGTTACCATTGTGGCCTCTCAGATCAGACTCCCTGTGCTACCATTTAATCACATTTTGTTTCTTTGTATTTATTTTTACAGTTAGTTTCTGTTTATGGCAGGTGATAGATACTCTGCCTCTCCACTTAAAGATGCCGTATCCAGTTTCCTTTTAAAATACATTTATCTAAGTGAAAATGGGTCAATCTACGGAAGAAAACAGAAGTGCAAAAATAGTGCAGGTGTGCACAGACGGGCGAGACGCTGGGAAGGTGCGAGGCAGAGACTAGAGTCTGGGGAACACCCAGGCAATAGAAAGGCAGAGTCAGGCCCGAGAGCGCCCCGCACCCACCCCACGGCCACCCCAAGGTCGTTCCACCCCAAGGTCAGTCCAAGGCCAGCAACGGCGGTGGTGACCCTGACGACCTTGGAGCCTGCCCTTCCCCACCTTCGGGGTTCTCCCTGGATCCACCACCTCGTCTCAGGCGGAGGTCCCCATCCCCCTGAGGATGACTTTCCCCAAACAAGAGCGGGGTCGAGAGCCGCCCAGTGCCGCCCCCCACCCCGCCCGCCGGCCTGGGGTGTCTGGGACCCAGGAACCACCCGCGGCTGGGAGACCTGGGGCGGCCTGGCCAGAGACCGCGGGGCCTGGGGCTGGGGGAGGGGAGCGGTAAGTGGGGGCGGGAGGAGGTCCCTTTGCAGAGGGAAACCAATGTCATCCGTCTCCAACTTCTGAGGAGAGACCCGGAGCAGCCAGCAGATTAAAAACCCCATCCCGGCCCTCACCGAGGTGTTACAACTCTGTCCCAGTTGCCTGGCAACCGCGCAGGTGTGTGATAGGGCGAGCGGCGCTCCCGGGAGCCAACCAGCGGCCGCGGGCCGCCCGGGTGGGAGCCGGGGTCGGGGGCGCATCCTGCATCCTGCACCCCGCATCCCGCACCTGCATCGGAGCCCCGCGTCCCGCACCCCGCACCCTGCACCCTGGATCCTGCATCCTGCACCCCGCACCCCTCATCCCGCATCTTGCACCCCGGATCCCGCACCCCGCATCCTGCACCCCGCATCTCTCACTCCGCATCCGGCACCCCGCAGCTGCACGCACCGCAACCCTCCCGCGGCCCCGCCTCCTGCACTCTCGGGGAGGGAGGAACCGCCATTGCCTGTGGGGGTCAAGGTTGGGGCGGCTGCCAGGCCCTGCTGGGCTGCATTTAACCCCAGGGTGCTCCTGCCGCCTCTGCTGTCTCCAGGCGTCGCATCACCGGCCTTGAAATCAGTGGCCAAGAGCCCCGACCCGTGCAAGCGGCCTCCAGGGTCCCCACCCCACTGGGATCCAAACCCAGCACTTCAGGGGAACCCAAGAATGGGGACGGGAGGCACCTCCCTCTCCAGGACCTGGGCTCTGCTTTGGGCCACACATACACCTTCTCCTGTCCCCAGAGGACGGGCTCGTGGAGCAGAAGCCTTTAGAGGAGAGGCTTGGCCGACCGTCCGCAACAGCCATCCAGGCGGAAGCGCCCAGGTGGGCTCTGCAGCCGGCCTCCCAGCAACAGCAGCCAAGAATAGTGGCCAACAGCTCTTGCTTGGAATTAGGCTGCGTTTGGATCCCAGCCGGTGACTGTGTGACCTTTAGCCAGTCTTGCAACCTCTCAGTTTGCTCATCCGGAAAATGGGGGGGGTGGAGGGTGGGCTGCTGTGCGGATTCAGTGAGGTAGTGCGCACGGAGCATGGAGCGTGGTGCTTAGCAAATAGCCCTCCATTCAGCTCAGAGAAAGAAATGGTTCCTTTGGGAACTGGAAGCTGTTGCCATTAGGCACAAGTCCCAGAGTTGCTGCAGAGAATCCCAACACAGTGCTCCAAGCTCCCCACCACACCCCACTTCCAGTAACCTGTGCAGGGAACCTCTCAGAGGTAGGGCCCAGAGAAGGGTGGAGGGCCACCTGGCTTCCCCACGTGGTGGCTATGCCCAGATAGCAGAAGGTGTGGCCCCCTCATCTGCTGCCTCTTAGCACCATTTCCATCAATCCTAAAGAAACACTGAGGCCAACGCCTGTAATCCCAGCACTTTGGGACGCCTAGGCGAGTGCATCACTTGGGGTCAGGAGTTCAAGACCAGCCTGGCCAACACGGTGAAACACCATCTCTACTAAAAATGCAAAAATTAGCTGAGCGTGGTGGCACGCACCTGTAATCCCAGTTATTCAGGAGGCTGAGGCAGGAGAATTGCTTGAACCTGGAAAGCAAAGGTTGCAGTGAGCCAAGATAGCGCCACTGCACTCCAGCCTGGGCGACAGAGCCAGACTTTGCTTCAAAAAAACCAAAATAAAAAACAAAAAACCCCATCTCTACAAAAAAATACAAAAAATTACCCAGGCATGGTGGCACACGCCTGTGGTCCCAGCTACTCAGGAGGCTGAGGTGGGAGGATTGTTTGAGTTCAGGAGGTCAAGGCTGCAATGAGCTATGCGTGCGCCACTGCACTCCAGCCTGGGTGACACAGCAAGACCCTGTCTAAAAAAAAGAAAAAAAAAGACAAAGAAGGAAAGAAAAGAAATGCTGAGTGGGGGGGTGTGGGTTGGGAGTACCACTCAAGGCTTTGCCTAACTGCCCAACTGACTCACCCTGTCTTGGCCCTAGCTTTCCTCTGTCCCTCTAAGTAGCATTCCCCATGGGAGTCTTCACCAGCCTATACTAAGATCTCTGCCTTCCTGAAGCAATCACTGCGCACCTGCTATTCAGCAGGGCCAGAGACAGACCAGGACAGAAAAGGGGAAAAAACAGGCCAGCCAAGTCCAGCCCTTTGCCCAGTAGGGTGGCCCTTCTCTTTGGAGAGCACCTCCCCACCCCTTCCCTCCTCCTCCCCCCTTGACTGCCGCTTACCGCTAGGCAGGCCAAGCGTGAAAGTGCTCAGACCCGGAATTGCGTGGAGAAGGAAATCTCTGTTCTTCAGGCAAACCCCATCCAGCCTTTTGGGATTCTCCTGAGAAGCCATGCTGAGCCCCAGGAGCTGAAGGCCCAGGCCCTTTCCCACACACCCTGGCCTGGGGGTGTCTTAAAATCCCAGCACTCCTAATCCACTTGGCTCAGATATATTTTTTCTTTTCTTTTCTTTTTTGTTTGAGACAGGGCCTCACTCCGTCGCCCAGCCTGGAGTGCAGTGCCACAATCACGGCTCACCAAAGCCTTGACCTCCCAGGCTCAGGTGATCCTCCCACCTCAGCCTCCCAAGTAGCTGGGACTACAAGCTCGTGCCACCACGCTCAGCTAATTTTTTTTTTTTTTTTTTTTAGTAGAGACAGGACCTCACTATGTTGCCCAGCCTGGTTTGGAACTCCTGGGCTCAAGTGATCTGCCTGCCTCGGCCTCCCAAACCGCTAAGATTACAGGCATCAGCCCCCATGCCTGGCCTGATATGTTTTCTTAAAAAGACAAATTCCAATTCCATAGGATCCCAGGCAGCTTTTGACACTAATGTTTCCATGGGGCTTTTTAAAAGCTTCGGCTATTCGGTGGAGAGCAAACATGTTCACATGCTAACAGTGGTGCTTGGCTCTGCCCTGGGTATTTGCCTCCCTCCCACTTCTTTATAGCGTTCTGTACTTTTCATACTTTCCACAGATGACATATATTACTTTTATAGTAAAAATAAATAAACAAACACAAGAGATTAATTCATGGGCCCGCTCAGCAACCTATTTAAATCCTTATCAAAGTGGAGCATTTGGGAGGCTGAGGCGGGCGGATCACCTGAGGTCAGGAGTTCAAGACCAGCCTGGCCAACATGGAGAAACCCCGTCTCTACTAAAAATACACAAAAACAGCCGAGTGTGGTGGTGTAGCCTGTAATCCCAGCTACTCAGGAGGCTGAGGCAGGAGAATCACTTGAACCCAGGAGGTGGCAGTGCGGTGTGCGGAGATCACACCACTGCACTTCAGTCTGGGCCACAGAGTGAGATTCTATCTCAAAAAAAAAAAAAAAAAAAAGAAGTGGAGCAGAGTTTCCCAGGGGGCCAAAACTGGCCCCTGTCCCTGGCTGCTTCCTGGAGCCACACTCATCAGGCAGGAGGCACTGATGGGGTAAAGTGCTCCACAGGAGCCCCTTGTGACCCACAGGGAGTCACAGTGCAAGAGGCCAGCAGTTTCCTGGGAGCCTCGTGCCTAGGACATTGGCAGCACTTTGGGAGGCTGAGGAGGGAGGATCACTTGAGCCCAGTTCAAGACCAGCCTGGACAACATAAGGAGACTCCGTCCCTACAAAAAAATTTAAAATTATCTGGGTATAGTAGTGCACACCTGTAGTCTCAGCTACCTGGGAGGCTGAGGAGGGAGGATCACTTGAGCTCTGGGGGTCAAGGCTGCAGTGAGCCGTGATCGTGCTACTGCAACTCCAACCTGGGTGACAGAGTGATACCTTGTCTCCAAAAACAACAACAACAAAAACCTAGAAATGAAGCTGACTCCATCTTGGTATTTTTTTCTTTGCATAACTCTGCTTTCCAGAGACTTTAGGGAAAGGGGACTGCTGGGCCTTCCCTCCCTTTTGCCCTGCGGCTGCCTCGTGTGCAGATTGGCTGTGCTGAGGTCTTCCCTCCCTCATGCCCTGTGGCTGCCTCGTGTGCAGATAGGCTGACCTGGTCCACCCTGAGCAGCCTCACACGAGTCACTGCCTCCTTCCAGCTGAGCCTGCTCCAGCCTGAGCTGTGGCTGACGTGCTGGTACACACTGCCCTGGGAGCTGTGTGCCTCAGCCTGGACTGCTGTTCTCCCAGGAAGCTCTAGAACCCACAGTGCAGTGTCTGGGACACAGCTTGTACCCAACAAGCACAGTCATGCATCACTTAATGACAGGGTGTGTTCTGAGAAATGTATCATCAGACCATTTCACTGTGCAAACATCATAGAGTATACTTACAGAAATCTAGATGCTAGAGCCTACCGCACACCTAGGCTATATGGGATAGCCCACTGCTCCTAGGCTACAAACCTGCACAGCACGTGCCTGTGCTGAACACGGCAGGCAACTGTAACACAAGAGTGAGTATTTATGTATTGAAACTGGCCGGCACGGTGGCTCACGCCTGTAATCCCAGCACTTTGGGAGGCCGAGGCGGGTGGATCACCTGAGGTCAGGAGTTCCAGACCAGCATGGCCAGCATGGTGAAAACCCATCTCTGCTAAAAACTACAAAAATTAGCTGGGCGTGGTGGAGAGTGCCTGTAATCCCAGCTATTCAGGAGGATGAGGCAGGAGAATCGCTTAAACCCAGGAGGCGGAGGTTGCAGTGAGCTGAGATCACGCCACTCCACTCCAGCCTGGTGAACAGAATAGGACTTTGTCTCAAAAAGAAAAGAGAAGAGAAGAGAAGAGGAAGCCGGGCGAGGTGCCTCGCGCCTGTAATCCCAGCACTTTGGGAGACCGAGGCGGGCGGACCACGAGGTCAGGAGTTCGAGACCATCCTGGCTAACACGGTGAAACCTCATCTCTACTATAAATACAAAAAAAAATTAGCCAGGCATGGTGGCGGGCGCCTGTAGTCCCAGCTACTCGGGGGGCCAAGGCAGGAGAATGGCATGAACCAGGGAGCGGAGGTTGCAGTGAGCCGAGATCGCGCCACTGCACTCCAGCCTGGGGGTCAGAGCGAGACTCCGTCTCAAAAGAAAAGAAAAGAAAAGAAAAGAAAAGAAAAGAAACTCTGGGAAGGGGCAGTTCCACAAACACCGGGCCCTCGACGCCGTGCAGGAAGCCCTCCCCTCCTGCATGGAGGTGGACCGCCAGGCTCCCCGACAGCTCCAGGTTGCTGGGTAACCCTGAAAATGGAGTGAGGAAAGTTCGACAACTTGCTGACCCAGAGGAAGGAGGAATGGGGTGGCTGAGCAGGAGGTAAAGCGAACCTCAGGGAGGGGCAGCGGCTGACAGTCACTGTGTGCCACAGGCTGGGCTCCCTTTGCTGTGAGCTCCTTGAAGGGCTGGGTTTTCCCCAGTTCTCTCTCAGGCACCCCGCAGGGCAGCAACCCGCAAACTGGGCAAGTGCCTCTGGGGGGCCATTTGGTGGTGGAGCTATGCTGAGACCTCACATTCTTCTTCTTCTTCTTTTTTTTTTTTTTCCTGAGACAGAGTCTCGCCCTGTCACCCAGGCTGGAGTGCAATGGCGCCATCTCGGCTCACTGCAACCTCCACCTCCCAGGTTCAAGCGATTACAGTAGCTGGGATTACAGCTGGGATTACAGGCACCCGCCACCACACCCGGCTAATTTTTGTGTTTTTAGTAGAGACAGGGTTTCACCATGTTGTACAGTCTGATCTTGAACCCCTGGCCTCAAGTGATCCACCTGCCTCAGCCTCCCAAAGGGCTGGGATGACAGGCGTGAGCCGCCACACCTGGCCGAGACCTCACATTCTTCTGAGGATACTTGTCCAGTAATGACACCAGCGGGGGCCAATTGACAGTGATACTAACAAAACATCCGCAAGCCCTTCCCAAGACGCTGCACCTAATTCGGGAACGAGGTTCACTGCAGCCTTCGCCTCCTAGGCTCAAGCGATCCTCCCACCTCAGCCACCCGAGCAGCTGAGACCATAGTCACACAGCACCACGCCTGGCTAACAGCTTCTATTTTTTCTGTAGAGACGGGGTCTTACCAGGTGTGTCCAGGATGGTCTCAAACTCCTGAGCTCAAGCGATCCTCCCACCTCAGTTACCCAAGCAGCTAAGACCATAGGCAGGCACCACCATGCCTGGCTAACATTTTCTATTTTTTTTGTAGAGACGGGGTCTTACCCAGTGTGTCCAGGATGGTCTCGAACTCCTGGGCTCAAGCAATCCTCCCACCTCAGCCTCCCAAAGTGCTGGGATTACAGGTGTGAGCCACGGCGCCGGGTCCTGAACCTAACTCCGTACTCATGACTCGTTTTCATAACGGGGTCCACAAAACCTTTAGGCTCCACCCAATCCGGATCGGAACCCTGCTCCCTCCCGGCTGGGACATGTAAGCTGGTTTCCCCTGGTAGAACCAGGCTGGAATAAGGGCTGGCCGGAGCCCTGAGGCCGAGGAAACCCCCAGATCATGTCTCAAGGCCAGCTGTATACACCAAATGCAGGTGGGCAGGGCGGGCAGCACCTTCCCTTCCCCCATTTAGTCACAATATCACAGAGTCCAAAGAAATTCTTGATCATTTTGAACGGGGGCTCCTTTCGAGAAGCCGATAAAGCCCATGGATATTCTCCCCCCTAAAATGCACCTACACCTATTGTTCTAGGGGCCTGTGGATGCCTGAGGCCCACCAGGTGCCCTGTAGGAGCCTGAGAAGCCGAGTCAAGGCCGCTGCTCTGCTCTGGAAGCAGCTTGGCGTGAAGGTGACACAGGTGACAGTGAGGAGGCTGAGTTCTATCCCAGCCGCTGCTGCTTCTTTTCATTCTTTCCAGACAGGGTCTCGCTCTGTCAAACAGGCTGGAGTGCAGTGGCCCAGTCATAGCTCACTGAAGCCTCAAACTCCTGGACTCAAGCGACCCTCCCTCCTTAGCCTCCCAAAGTGCTGGGATTCCAGCCAGGAGCCCATGGTGCCTGGCCCCATCCCAGCTTCTAAGTCACTTCCCCAAAACTCTACTGAGCTTTGTATGAGATGTTCTCAAACTTCCTCCCAACTTGAGAATTCTGATCCTTTCTGCGACTTTCATCTTCTGCAGGAATGAGCCCTGCCCCGAGGCCTTCAAGAAAAACAGGAGAGCCGGGCGCCGTGGCTCACGCCTGTAATCCCAGCACTTCGGGAGACCGAGGCCAGTGGATCATCTGAGGTCAGGAGCTCGAAGCCAGCCTGGCCAACATGGTGAAACCCCGTCTCTACTAAAAATACAAAAATTAGCCGGGCGTGGTAGCACACACCTGTAATCCCAGCTACTCAGGAGGCTGAGGCAGGTGAATCGCTTGAACCCAGAAGGCGGAGGTTGCAGTGAGCCGAGATCCTGCCACTGCATTCCAGCCTGGGCAACAAGAGCGAAACTCCATCTCAAAAAAAAAAAGAAAAAAGAAAAATAGGAGAAATGGAACTCACTTAGGCTGAACACCCCGTTATATGCGACAAGCATTTTTCACGCACTGCTCATTTCATTCTCTCAATGACCCTTTCAGGCAAATATACTTTGTTCCTTTTTAACTGATCATGAAACTCTCCTGTCAGGTGAAGGAACTTCCAGGAAGGTGTTTGGCAAGTGGTGGGGATTGGATTTGAACCTGGGCCTGCTGGACTCCACAAGCCTGTGCTCCTGGCACAAAGGTGTTCACTCCCTGAGTGCCTGCACCAATGCCCTAGGTCCCCTCCTTCTTCTCACCTCCTCTGTCAACTCTGCCCGGAAATGTGGGCCTTCCCTCTACCTTTGGAACCTCTTGGGATCAAGCCACCTGCCTCCTACTCTCTGTCCCCAGGGCTCGCAAGCCGCCTGGCAGATGGGAAACGAAGATCCCATTCCCATCCATCTGCATCAAATCCTACTGAGTCCACCCCCTCCTGGGTCCACTGCTTCACTGGGGGACAATTAATAGCTATGGTTGATTACTGGACACTTATGCACGGAGGAACATAAACCGGGTTTACATTCCCGGCTTTAAAAGCCCAGATTAATCGCCCTGGGCTGGTTCTGTCACACATAGGGATATATTTTCTTCTTGGAATTTACAAGTAGTTCCATCTGAGAAATAAACAACCAGAGATAAAAATTACATTGTCACAGTACAGGTGTGACAGATGTAGGAAGCCAGCCGTCTGGTGGCTGAGGAGGTGCTCTGCCAATGGAATCCACCAAATGAGCCCTGGAGGAGCCCCAGGTAAGGGGGATAGGATGCTGATGGGATCTCAGCCACAGGGGAAGTGTGGAATCTCTGCAATTTGCATTTCATCACTGTAAATCACAGGGTTCCCAGGCCGGCCTCCAGAGCCAGGGTGAGAGGTTGATTGGCAGGAGACCTCCTCAAGCTGCCCCGCCTCTCAGCTGCAGGCCTCAGGAACCCCAGCCTTCAGGGACAGTAGGATGGCCCCAGCTAAGCAACAAGCAGGAAGACACTTGCCTATAACCTTGACAGCTCTGTCTCCACCAAGACACGAACCACCTCTCTTGTCTCTACTGCTACTAGCAGAGAGGACTAGGCCCGTTGGTGGAAGAGAGCCATCTCCAGAAGGTCACAGGAAAACCAGGCGGGATCTGGGGTCCACAGAGTCATAATAACAATTAGCATCTCTTGAGTGCTTACCAAGTGCTCGGCACCCTGTGAAGGACTCGGTGAGGATTATTGTGTATTAATCCTCATGACCACCCGATGAAGTAGGTATTATTATTAACCTCACTTTACAGATGACAAAACTGAGGTGCACAGAGGTTAAGTGACTTGCCCAAGGTCCCTGGAGTGAATTGAATGGTGGCCCCCCAAAAGGATATGTCCACATCCATATCCCTGGAGCCTGTGACCTTATTTGGAAAAAGGCGTCTTTGTCGATGTAATTAAGTTAAAGATCTTGAGATAAGATCATCCTGGATTACCCCAAAGGGCCATAAATGCAATGACAAATTTCCTTATAAGAGACAGAAGAGGAGGAGACAGAGGGAAGCCACGTGAAGTCGGAGGCAGAGACTGGAGCGATGCAGCCACAGAGAACCCCCACGGCCCCCAGAAGCTGGAAGAGCCTTCGTGGGGTGCACAGTCCTGCCAACACCTTGATTTCAGATTTCTGGCCTCCAGAACTGTGAGAGAATAAATTTCTCTGGTTTTAAACTAACGAGTTTGTTGTAATAGCCATTAAAAAAAAAAAATTCATAGCCAGGAGTCACAGAGCCAGGAGTCAGGTCCGGCAGGCTGACCCCAGACTCAGGCCCTGCCCCCCGACCCAGGCCCAGGCTCTGCCCACCACATGACACAATGCTCACAGGCTTCCAGGCCTGGGTTCCAGGCTTGGCTCTGCTGCAACTGAGCCGTGCGACCTTGAGGACATCTCTAAGCCGCAGCTTCCTTATCTGCAAAATGAGGGGGCTGGACAAGATAAGTGGGTGCCTTCGGGGCTGCCGCTGCGACAAGGGGACCAAGTGGGGTTCTGAGTAACGCAGGCAGGTGCGAAGGAGAAAGAAAAAAGGTTCAGCAAACCACCTGTAGGCAGCCATTTATTACAGGGAGTTTGGGCCACCCATGATATGTTCCCCTCCTTTTAGCCACAGAACCCTGCTTTTCCTTTGGGAGAGCCGGTCCCCTCCCCCAGCTCTCCACCCATGCGCCATGATAGAGCCAGCTCAGCCCCCACCTTCCGGAGTGGGCTCGTACCCAATCAACACCTGCTCCCAGGCCTCCATGACTGGTTCAGGGTTGAATTTGAGCCAATGTTATCAGGCCCACAACTTTCGTTCAAGCCTGTGGGGGAAGAGAAGTTCTCCTTTTCCGGGAGGAGGGACAGATGGAAACCTGGAGCTGCTGGATCCTTCTGAGAATGACGCCAACTCCGTGAAGCCATGCCAAGAAGCCAAGAAGGAGAAACCACGTCCGGAGACACCATGGGCTCAAGATGCACCTGAGGACGAGGCTGTCTGTTTCATGAGCCTGTAAGATTCCCGCTCTGTCCCAGTGGTTTTGTTTCCGTCTTTTGTAACCAGAGTCTCACCCTTCAGGTCCCCAGGTCTGGCCATTTCCAAGGGTCCTTCTAGCTCTGAAGCAGTGTGATTTCACAGCCAACAAAATCACAGCACCTGTTTGCCTGCACTGCAGATGTGTGTGAGTTCAGGGACACACACACACACACACACACACACACACACACACACACACACACACACGGACTTTCCACACATTATCCCACAATATCTCTGACCAGAAATAATTAAGCCCTCATGCTGGGTGCGGTAGCTCACGCCTGTAATCCCAGCACTTTGGGAGGCCAAGGCAGGTGGATCACCTGAGGTCAGGATTTCAAGACCATCATGGCCAACATGGTGAAACACCATCTCTATTAAAAATACAAAAATTAGCCGGGTGTGGTGGCACACACCTGTAATCCCAGCTACTCGGGAGGCTGAGGCAGGAGAATCACTTGAACCCAGGAAGTGGAGGTTGCAGTGAGCTGAGATCACACCATTGCACTCCAGCCTAGGAAACAAGAGCGAAACTCCATCTCAGAAAAAAAGGAAAAAAAGGAAAAGAAGGAGGCCGGGCATGGTGGCTCACGCCTGTAATCCCAGCACTTTGGGAGGCTGAGGTGGGCAGATCACGAGGTCAAGAGATCGAGACCATCCTGGCCAATGGTGAAAACCCGTCTCTACTAAAAATACAAAAATTAGCTGGGTGTGCCTATAGTCCCAGCTACTCAGGAGGCTGAGGCAGGAGAATTGCTTGAACCTGGGAGGTGGAGACTGCAGTGAGCCAAGATGGCGTCACTGCATTCCAGCCTGGTGACAGAGCAAGACTCCGCCTCAAAAAAAAAAAAAAAAAAGAAAAGAAAAGAAGGAGCCACGAATATGTTCAGTATTTTGTATTTACTGTACTCCAGCCTGGGGGACAGAGAGAGACTCTGTCTCAAAAAAAAAAAAAAAAGAAAAGAAAAGAAAAAGAAAGAATTAAGTCCTCAATGATGGAACATCCCTCCCCTCTCCAGAGGTGTCTCTCTCCACCGCATCCCTAGCACCCAGGAGTGTGCCTGAACCCCCTGATGTCTTAAATGCTTCCTGAAGGAATGGAGAAATGAATAAATGGATGCTGGATGCTGTAGGCACTTATAACTGGGGGACCTGACCTCGTCTGGAAGGCTCAGGACCACTTCCCAAGGAAGCATCCTTTGAGCTGGGCTCTAGAAGAAGGGTAGGAATTGTCCAGGTAAGCAGGCTGAGGCAGGGGCAACATTACAGGCAGCACAGCCCAGGTACATGTGAGGAACAGAAAGAAAATAGTCAGCATGAGCGGACACTGGTGTGAGATGAGGCTGGAGGAGAGGCAGGGGCCAGATCTCATGAGGTCAGTTAAAAAGCCCTGTTAAAAACAGGGGCCCCTATTTCAAGAGCCGTGGGAAGCCACTAAAGGATTGTAAGCAATCAAAGTGATATGATCACATCGTGTTCCCTAACATCCCCTAATTGCGGCAAGGAGGCTGGAGACCAGAGAGTAATCTAGACCACCAATCAGGAGGCTACTGCAGTAGTCCAAGCAAGAGATGTAGGACCCTGGTTTAAGACGGTTAGCGGCGGCGGGGGAAACGGAGAGGAGGGGATGGAGGTAAAGGATGTGCAGGAGATGGACTCAACTGATGGAAGATGACGAGGGAGAGGATGACTCAGTGGGTGCTCAGCACACAGCAAGCCAGATCCTGCACCGCCCTAGATTTGGACACTTCTATTAATGTGGCCAAAAATTATAGAGGCTTTTTTTTTTTTGGAAGGCACATCAAACTTTCTGACTCACTGTGCTTGCAGGCAAATAAATGCTTCCTCATCATAACCCTTAATGGGACGAGAAGGCTCTACTGCGAGCACGCTGGAGGGGCCCTGGAGCCAGGGCCAGCTGCTGGATCACAGGCTTGAGAAGGGTGCTGGAGCATCACACTGGCTGAGAACAGAAAGCCGGGGAGTGGGGGTGTCATATGTTTTTTATTTATTTATTTTTATTTTTTGAGACAAAGTGTTGCTCTGTCGCCCAGGCTGGAGTGTAATGGCATGATCTCGGTTCACTGCCACCTCCACCTCCCGGTTTCAAGCAATTCTTCTGCCTCAGCCTCCCGAGTAGCCAGGATTACAGGTGCATGCCACCATGCTTAGTTAATTTTTGTATTTTTAGTAGAGAGGGGGTTTCACCATTTTGGACAGGCTGGTCTCGAACTCCTGACCTCATGATCCACCAGCCTCAGCTTCCCAAAGTTCTGGGATTACAGGTGTGAGCCACTGTGCCTGGCCTGAGTGTCATTTCAAGAAGGAGAAAGTATGCTTAAGCCTAGGAGTTCGAGACCAGCCCGGGCAAGACAGCAAGACCCTGTCTCTACAAAAAAAAACAAAACAAAAAACAAAGGTCACGATAGTTTGTACAACAATGTGAGTGTGCTTAATGCCACAGAACTGTACACTTAAAATGATTACAATGGTAAATTTTGTTGTGTACATTAAAAAACTTTTTTTTAATTATCAAGGATGCATAGAATATTTGGGAAGCTGAGGCTGGAGGATCACCTGAGGCCAAGAGGTTGAGACCAGCCTGATCAACACGGTGAAACCCCATCTCTGCTAAAAATAAAAAATTAGCCGGGCATGGTGGTGGGCACCTGTAATCCCAGCTACTTGCGAGGCTGAGAGGCTGAGGCAGGAGAATCGCTTGAATCTGGGAGGTGGAGGTTGCAGTGAGCCGAGATCGAGCCACTGCACTCAGCCTGGGTGACAAAGCAAGACTCCATCTCAAAAATAAACAAATAAAATAAAATAATGAAAAATAAAAAGTTCTTGTAGGCCGGGCATGGTGGCTCACATCTGTAGTCCCAGAACCTTGGGAGGCTAAGGCAAGGCAGGAGGATGGCTTGAGCTCAGGAGTTCAAGACCAGCCTGGGCAACAGAGGAAGACCTCATCTCTACAAAACATAAAAAATATTAGCCAGATGTGTGGCATGCACTTTTGGTCCCAGCTACTCGGGAGGCTGAGGTGGGAGGATCGCTTGAGCCCAGGAGGTTGAGGCTGCAGTGAGCCATGATGACACCACTGCACTCCAGCCTGGGCAATAGAGCAAGACCCTGTTTCAAAAAACAAAACTTACTGTAATACAATCAAGGCTAACAGAAGAAAGGAAGGAAGGGATTATCATGGAACTTTTTGAGTCCACTACAGATGCGCTTCTGAGTCAGAATCTTTTACAAAGCTGGGTTTTCCGTCTATCACACTGTTGTTTCGCTCTACCTCTTAAAGTCTCTCTGAGCTGTGTCTCCAAGAGAGGAGACGGTGTGCACACAGCCCTGCACCCACCCTTTCCTGCATGTGTAGTGCTCCCCCTGCATAGCCACAATGGAGAAAATGAGAGCATCCAGGGAACGAGTCCCTCTCTAGGCGCAGAGAGCACCAACCCATGTGCAATTTGGATGCCTGACCTTGGCCAATTAGTACCTTGCTCAGTGTAACCAACCGAGTCGCAGATTCCATTCGATTCAGCAAACATTTATCGAGCATCTCAGTGCCAGCTGATTTCTGTCTGTTCTATAAGTGCAATGGAGCTCAGCCTTCTCTCCAGATTAGAGTTATTTGTATTTCAAGGCAAAAAGATAGGTTTTAAGTACCTGTAAGAGGCGGTAATGGATGCCCCGGGGAAGGGTAGGCATAGGCTTGTAGGGAGGGAGAGGAGCTGAGAAAAGGCCTGAGAATCAGGGTGGTAGGACCGGGCTGGAAACGGAAGAAAAGGTGGACTGAGAAGCCAGATAAAGCCTGTGAGTTTGTTTTTTTTTGAACCTCCCCCAACTTTCTTTTTAATCGAAAAGATAATACATGCACATAGTAAAAAAAAAAAAAAAAACAAAAAAAAACTTCAAAGAACACAAAAGGGTATACAATAAAAAGTAAGTCTCCTTTCCTCTCCCAGACCTCCAGGCCCCAGTTTCTTTCTTCAGAGGTATCCTACTGTTAACAGTTTCTTTTGTGTATTTCCAGAAAATTTCTATCACATACAAGCATGTCTTTTTAGAACCCAAATGGTAGCGCCATGTATTACCACTGCTTTTTCACTTTGCAAGGTAGCTTGGCATCCACCCCATCTCAGTGCACACAGAGTCACCCATTCCTCGCAGCGGAAAATCCCATCGCACGGGGGTGTTGTCATCTACCCAGTGGATCCCCTCCTGATGGACAAGTAGGTTGTTTCCAGTTTCTGAACTTGCATGCTCCCACATGCGCATTTCTGCCCACAGATACAAGGGTAGCAGTAGATCAATTCCTGGAAGTGGAATTGCTCTATTTACGGAGCTGTAACTGACTCTGACTGAGAAGTCCAGGGAGAGCTATGTCTCCAGAAGAGGAGAGACGTGTACTGAGCCCCACGCCCACCCTCCTTCCTTGTACACACAGTCCCCCAGATCCTTCATGACATGGGCCACGTAGGAGCAAGGGTTGGACTGCATGCAGAAAAAGAGTCCTCGTGCCGGGCGCAGTGGCTCACGCCTGTAATCCCAGCACTTTGGGAGGCCGCGGCGGGTGGATGACGAGGTCAGGAGAACGAGACCATCCTGGCTAACACGGTGAAACCCCATCTCTACTAAAAATACAAAAAATTAGCCGGGCGTGGTGGCGGGCGCCTGCAGTCCCAGCTACTTGGGGGGGCAGGAGAATGGCGTGAACCCGGGAGGCAGAGGTTGCAGTGAGCCAAGATCGCGCCACTGCACTCCAGCCTGGGTGACAGAGCGAGACTCTGTCTCAAAAAAAAAAAAAAAAAAAGAAAAACGAAAAAAGAAAAAGAGTCCTTCTCTGGGTTCAGAGAGAACCAACTTGTGTGGCTGGGGACTCAGTTGGGGACAAAGAGCCGCCCCCTCCCCCAGTTGGGGCTAAGAGCATGTAGAGGGATTGAAGCTTAAGGATACAGTGCCTGGCACGCAGTGACTGCTCCATCAGCATGACCTATTGTGGGTATTATTATTATCGCTGTTGTGATCCAGAGGGAGCCTGTCTCGCGGGTGGCTGGGAAAGCTCCCTGTGCTGTTCTGTCCAAGAGTCCAGTTGATTCAAAGGCACTGAAGTGGGAGCCTGCTCAGCTCTTGGAGCTGGATGAGAGCTGAGACAGGCAGTTCCCACTTAGCACAGCTTGGCATCTTCAACTCCCGGGCCTTTGCCAGTACCTAATAAACACCATACTCCATGCCTTGCCATCGTCGCCCACGTGTGTCCTACGCCTGCTGACGATGGCTGCCACAGCACACAGTCAGCATTTCACCCTGACACATGACTCTCTTATGACCTGCTTTCTCTTTGAATGGATGCGGCCTGAATGATGTCACTGTGACACAATGAAACTACAGGTGAGGGCCGGGCGCGGTGGCTCCCACCTGTCCTCCCAGCACTTTGGGAGGCCGAGGCAGGTGGATCGCCTGAGGTCAGCAGTTCGAGACCAGCCTGGACAACATAGTGAAACCCCATCTCTACTAAAAAAGAATACAAAAAATTAGCCGGGCATGGTGGTGAGCACCTGTGATCCCAGCTATTCGGGAGGCTGAGGCAGGAGAATCGCTTGAACCTGGGAGGCGGAGGTTGCAGAGAGCTGAGATCGCGCCACCGCACTCCAGCCTGGGTGACAGAGCGAAACTCTGTCTCAAAAAAAGAAAAGAAAAGAAAAGAAACTACAGGTGTGTATTACTGGGTGGGGAATGTCAGAACTGACACACCCAAAAAAGAATTAGAAGAATTAGCCTTGACTCTGGGGCCAGTCAGACCTGGGTTCAAATCCTGGCCCTGACACTTCTAAGCATGTGTCCTGGGGAAGTCATTTAACTTCCTTGAGCCTTAGTTTCATCACCTGTGAAATGGGCTAAGCACTTGTTCTAACAGGATTACTGTGAGGAGTAAGCAAAATAATGGATTATTTATGAGTTTTTTGTTTTGTTTTGTTTTTACAGACCTGCTTTATTCTTAAACTTATTTCGGCAGTTGAGATAATATATGTAAAGTGTCTGGCACATAGTAACGGTTCAATAAAGCATCCGTTCCCTTCCCCTACCCTTCCATCAGAGTGGTCATCTTTGAACCCAAGTCCCCCATTGCAAAGCACTGCCATTACTTGAAACAATTCTGGAACTTCCTCGTGAGAAAACTGGCTCAGTTGGTTAGGGTGCCATCGCGTTTTGAATCTCAAAAAAAAAAAAAATTCCGATAACAAAAACAAATCACATTCTGCAAATTGCTCAGCCCCTGTATTCACAACACACAGCTTCAAATTACTTTTGGCCTTTTCCAAAAAATCAAACCCACCCTCAAAGGTCAAGGATTCACCACTGCCAAGGCTATTAAGAGGAAAATGCTGTGAAATCTGAAGCAATTTCCCAAGAAGAACTCATCAAGTTTTAAGCAAGCACAGCAGAACTGGTAGAAAAACAAAGCCCCCCAGTCCCCACCCCCGGCTACGCTGAACCACCCCGTTCCTCAGGACACGTGCACTCGAACCTCGCCGCTCCGGGTCCCAATCTGTGGATTGCTTTCCCCAGTCTCTGGAGTAAGATCTCATTTTGCTGCCTCTGAGAAGAGTGTGCCCAGGTGGAATTCACAGGCGCTGGGAGCTTGAGGGGGAAGTGATGGGCAAGAGCTGGGGAGGACAAAGCGGCTTTCACTCCATCCCTTATGGGGATAGTGAGGAGGGAGTCCAGGGACAGGGGGCCAGCAACTAGATGCCTTGGGGGCACAGCCATGTCTCCCCTGTGCTGAGCCCACCGTGTTACAGAGGACCTACCAGCTCTCCCAGCCAGGGACACACTTGGTCCCTCCTCGGGCAAAAGCAGGGCGAGTACTGCCCAAGTCCTGAATATCCTCGGCCTCATCCCCTGATATTCTCAATTCTCAGGTCAGAAAATGCCAAGGGGCCTGCTCCATCCCCTTCCCACCAGCTTGCGAGCTTATCAAACCCACAATTTGGGAGAAGGTCCTGCCACTACCTAACTTCACAGAAGGCAGAGGACAATGAGTCTGAGTGAAGATGCTGGAGTCAGCCAGGCCTGGATTCCAATCCCAGCTCCGCCACTGACAGGCCCGGTGACCTCGGTCAACACAAGCAGGCTCTGCTGCCTCCCACCTCCAAGCCTCAGTTTCCTTCTCTAGGAAAGGGGATAATACACGCTTGCGTTGGGGGAAAGGTGGTTAAAAAGGAGGCTTATAAAGATTAAATGACGGCCAGGTGCAGTGGCTCATACCTGCATATAATCCCAGTACTTTGGGAAGCCGAGGTGGGAGGACTGCTTGAAGCCAGGAGTTCAAGACCAACCTGGCCAACATAGTAAGACCCCATCTCTAAAAAAAAAAAAAAATCATGAAATGAGATGACAGAGGCTGTCAACAGATGGCCAGAAATACTCCCAAGGCCCTGTGTCTGGAGCATGTGGTTCCCCTGTGCTTACAGGGGCCCTGGGACCATGCTCAGAGCCCACAGTGATGGAATGAGCCTCTCAGGCCCCAGCAGCCCACTGAGCTCTCACTGCAAAAGGTAGGCATGGGGCCGAGTGCAGGGGCTCACACCTGTAATCCCAGCACTTTGGGAGGCCAAGGGAGGCCAAGGCGGGTGGATCACCTGAGGACAGGAGTTTGAGACCGGCCTGGCCAACATGGTGAAACACCGTCTCTACTAAAAATACAAAAATTAGCCGGGCATGGTGGTAGGTGCCTGTAACCCCAGCTACTCGGGAAGCTGAGGCAGGAAAATCACTTAAACTCGGGAGGCGGAGGTTGCAGTGAGCCGAGATTGCGCCATTGCACTACAGCCTGGGTGACAAGAGTGAAACTCTGTCTCAAAAAAAAAAAAAAAAAAAAGATAGGCATGGCAGGGGAACCTCTACAGCCAGGAGGGCCTAAGCTTGGCTCTGGAAAGACCTTTGTCCTTTGCTCACTCTCCTCGTCCTTACAGGCTCATACCCCAGATGAGGGAGCTGACTCTCACTGTCGCCGGAAGTCCCACCTGCCAGAAGGCGTAGAACAACATGGTTCTGCCTGGCACTGCGTGCTGAAGAAATACCCCTGGATCATTATCATCCCCCTCAGATGGCTCGCTGCAAGATCTACCATCAAAGGTAAACAAGTCCTTATCTTCTTGCTAATTGGTTCGAATCGATTGACTTTATAAGTGGGTCTAATGTGCAACTGGTGAGAGATGGCCTATGTGCCGAGCAACCCATGCACTTAACTAGCTGTCGCTCAAGCACGGAACAAGGCATATTAACCCAAATTTCTCAGACCGCCTTCTCCTGAGAGGCTGCAGAGCCAGCGTCTCCCCTGTTGGGCTCATATTTGCTGGGTCAACAGGCCCGCTTAGAGGCACCTGGATGCTGTTAGGCGGGTGGCGATAACACTGGTGTAGGTTCCTTGGCGAGGTGAGGGCGTGCTGAGCCTGTGACAAGCATCCCTGGGCCCTGCCCTGCCCTGGCTCAGGCTGCCTGGCAGGAGAAGGGACTGAATCCCAAGTGTTGGCAGGGGAGGAGCAGGAAGGCAATTTTCCCGGTACTCTCATCATCTGCCTTCCATGTGCCTTTTGATGTGTTTCCTTACTCGGCTTTCTCCCAGGAAAGCTTGAATCTGTCTCATTGAACCCATCTCTGAGGCCAGGTCACTGCTGCTTTCCAGGTGAGAGCTGATGTTCAGTCTTTTATCACTGCCAGTGTCTGAAATAGTCCAGAAACTGGTAAAGACAACAGACACCAGGAGATGACCTAAAAATCTTGGGCAGAGTACGGGTGAACAGCAGCTCTCCCCACCTCCCCTCCCCCCCGGCCCAAGGTCCCCCTGCAGAGGGCTGGCTGCTGCCCTCCCCCTGAGAAGCGGCCAGCTACCCCCAACTTTTTTCTGCTCTATTAATAAACCTCAGCTGAGATCCTTGTGACCCCCCTCTTCCGGATGTGATCCTCGCTGCCTTGCCTTATCAGCCTTGCTTTTCACAAGCTCTTAAATTCATGAGAAAAGGGAAAAAGTGAAATCAGATAGAAATGCAGGTCTGTTTGCTGTTTTCTCCAATGAAATGGTTCTGGGTAAACAGCAGACGCCTTTGATGAAATCCCAGCAGGCTTAAACAATAAAGCTGGTTACAAACTCAATCTGGCGGAGATATCAGATCTGAAATTGTTTCAAAAAACATGTCAACATTTTCTAATGCTCCTAAAAAAAACCTTCCTGGGCTGCCCACTGTGGAGTCTGGGTCTCGGAGACAGGACGGGGGCCACCCCAGCCTCTGCCCAGGCCAGCTGGGACTCTGTGCACAAAGAACCCAGGAGCAGGCTATTCCTGGTTGCTGGGGGCCCTGCCAGCTGCAGATGTGTAAATGGCCACTTCAGTCATAACCCAAGCCAGGCAGGGGACCAGCCACCCTTGTGTACACCACTGCACCATCCCCCGCAACCAACCTGGCCTCCCCGCCTTCCCCCTTAACTATCTTCCATTCTCCACACTGCAGCCAGCAGAGGCTTTTAAAAATGTAAATCAGATCATGTCATTCCTTTGCTTAAAACCTCTAATGCATTCACACTGCACTTAGAACAAAATCCAAACTCCTCCGTGGCCCACGAGACCTTCAGGGATCTGCCGCTCACTACCTGCTTCTTCACTCACGACAATCAACCTCACTGGCCTTCCTCGCAAATTATTTCCTGCCTCTGGGCCTTTGCACTTCCTACAGACTTTGTCTGGGATGCTTTTTCCCCAACCCATCGTCCTCAGCCAGCTCCAGGACCAGCCCAGCTGATGTGGCTCCTCTCCCGGCCAAGTACAATATCACATTAACAGTTTTATTCTCTACACTGAGTCCAACCACGATCTGAAATCATCGCATGTGTTTACTTATTAACTGTCGCTCTCTGGAATGCGATCCCTCTGCAGGTCTGAACTTGTCTGTCTGGTAGTCGACAAGTATGACTGGCCCATAGTAGGTGCTCAATCATAAACCACTGCATGAATGAGCAGTGAGGATGTCACCGTCCCCTCTAGGTATTCCCCAGGCAATGCCCAGGAAATCGGGAGCACCACCAGCACACTAAGGTATCCTACTCCAAGGTACAGGAACACCTCGCCAGCCTCCCTCTAGGGCACCCCTAGCTGCCCCTGCCCCACCCAGGCCTCATCCAAGCCCCTGCTGGCTTTAAACCACTAGGACTCGGAGGTCAGGCCTGAGCCGGGGCTGGGAGGTCCCCGCCCCCTTCACAGCCCTCCTACTCGGGCCTGCATCCCCGCAGACCCCCGACCCCAGCTGACGCCCTCTGAGAAGGGAGGTGACAAGGGCAGGCCGGCAGGGGCCGGCGCGCTCCTCGCAGGCCTTCTGGGGAAAGCGTGGGCGCAGGTGCCTTCGGTTGGGCTCCTGGGTCTGGGGCCTGGGGGCGGGCAGCGATGTCCCCCTCAGGGTGCCGGGCGCCCCACCCCCACCCCCGCCTCCGCCCCAGGCCGCGATCGATCCCGGCCTCTCCCGGCCTCATTACCGAGGGAGAGCTGCCGGGGCTGGCAGGGGAGCCAGACGGCGGCGGAGGGGGCGGGGAGGCCTCCTTGGCTCCCTGGCCCGGATTAAATATTTACTATGTTTTGTTTGGCCTTTGGGGGAGGGGCGGGGAGGGCTGTCGCATTGATCCGGAGCTGCAGGGCGAGGGCGGTGCCCAGACCCGGCGCCCCAAGGCCTCCCGCAGGCCGACCCGAGCCGAGCGCGCCCTTTGGGCACCGGCCCCGCCCGGGAGGGTCTTCTCGCTCTAGAGCCGGGGGCCCGCGCTGAGAGATCGGGGTTACCGCGCGGGGAGCCGCGGCCGCGCTGGGATCCGTTCCCTCTCGCGGGAGCCGCCGGCCGGGGATCTGCGCACCCCACGCGCCCCGCTCGGGTCGGGCCTCCCCTCCCCGCGGCTGCCCCCGGGCCGGCCACCGCTGCCCAGCGCGCAGGTCCCTGCCGGATCCCCGGCGGCTTTCCTGCCCCCACTTTACAGACGTGAACGCTGAGGCGGAGGGTGGGGGACGTGGGGCCGGCTCGCCTCCTCCTGGGCTCGCCGGGATGTGGCCTCCGAGGTCGCCGCGGCGCTTTCCTGCCCAAGCTGGCGCTGCCGGAGCGCCCGGGCCCCGCTCCCCTCACGGGCCTCGCAGCACAGACGGGGACAGGGGCGGCCTCGCGCGCACGGGGACCCCGGGGTGGGGGTGGGGGTGGGGCTCTGCGAGGGCCCTAAAAACGCTGGGGACGCGGGTTTGACGCACTTTCCCGGCAGCCGAAGACGACCCCGGAGCCCCTTTATTCTCTACGCGCTCATCCCACGCGCAGAACAGACACAGGCCCTGCCCTCACCGAGGGTTCCAGTCGGCTGTGCACAACTGAAGAGCTGCTCCCCCTTCCCTGCACGATGCCATCCTCTCACACACAGGGCGGGGACCACTCCACAGCCCCTTACAGCGATGTTCACTCGCCCCAGAGAGCTGCTCACGCCAGTCTACACCAGACACATGCGCGATCACACACACACACACACACACACGCTGCACTGAATGTGTGCTCATCATACACACACACACACACACACACCGGCCGGGCGCGGTGGCTCACGGCTGTAATCTCAGCACTTTGGGAGGCGGAGGCGGGCGGATCACGAGATCAAGAGTTGGAGACCATCCTGGCCAACATGGTGAAACCCCGTCTCTACCAAGAATACAAAAATTAGCCGGGCGTGGTGGCGCGCGCCTGTGATCCCAGCTACTCGGGAGGCTGAGGCAGGAGAATCACTTGAACCCGGGAGGAGGAGATTGCAGTGAACCGAGATCGCGCCACTGCACTCCAGCCTGAGCAACAGAGCAAGACTCCGTCTCGAAAAAAATAAAACACACACACACACACACACATGAACTGCCCCATCCCTATCCACGTATGTGCACATGCAGCTCCCAACACCCATACACAAAGAGCTGTTCACCCACTGCCACCCTGTACATGTCGGTGTACACACAAGCACACACGTACACAGAACATCCAGCCTCTTCTTCCTGTCCCTGCACACATGCACAAATACACACTGCAGTGCCCACTCCCTATACATGCCCCCCCCACACACACACGCACAGGCACACACACTCTTGCGTGCTGACTGCAGGCGGCTGGGGAAGAGCTGCAGCCTCCAGCCCTGCTCCTATTTAAAGAGAGGCATTGCTGGAAAAGGAACAAAAGCAAAGCTGGCTATAAATAGCCACCTCCCTCCCGGCTTTTCCTGCCCTCCGGCCTCACGGCCTTGCCTCTTCTCGCCTCTCCTCTCCTGTCTAGGGCCCAGAGCAGCTGGGGCAGGCCTGTCCCCAGGGGGGCAGGCAGTGGGGCCCTGGAGGCCAGGTGGCCAAGTGCTGACCACTGGGCAGGCCAGGGTCCCTGGGCCTGGATGGGTGCAGGGGCACAGGCCGGCCATCTGCAGCCAGCCCTGTGTGCATGTACCCAGCACAGAGGGAGGGAAGCCTGCCTGGGCCAGGGCTGCTGCCTCAGCAGAACTGCAAAGGCTGACAGCTGTGTCAGGGAGAAGGCGTGTCTGCCAAGTAGCAGCCACCGCTGCCCCAGGTGTCCCTACCCAGCCCGGCCAGGCCTTTCCTAGTTTGCTTCCTGGGTTGGCTCCTGGAGCCCAGAGCCAAGGATATTGGGTGCCTTGTTAGGAAGCAGGATGGGGCAGAGGAAGGAATGTCAGGACGGGAGGCAGGGAAGGGACACAAAGTCCTACTTTGGGTTCCAGTTTTTGTTTGTTTGTTTGTTTAAGATGGAGTCTCTCTCTGCCGCCCAGGCTGGAGTGCAGCGGCATGGTCTCGGTGCTACCTCCACCTCCTGGGTTCTAGCGATTCTCAAGTCTCAGCCTCCCGAGTAACTGGGATTACAAGCACATGCCACCATGTCCAGCTAATTTTAGTATTTTATTTATTTATTTATTTATTTTGAGACTGATTTTCGCTTTTCTTGCCCAGGCTGGTGTGCAATGGTGCGATCTCGGCTCACCTCCGTCTCCCAGGTTCAAGTCATTCTCCTGCCTCAGCCTCCTGAGTAGCTGGGATTACAGGGGCGTGCCACCACGTCTGGCTAATTTTTGTATTTTTAGTAGAGATGGGGTTTCGCCATGTTGGCCAGGCTGGTCTTGAACTCCTGACCTCAGGTGATCCGCCCAGCTCAGCCTCCCGAAGTACGGGGATTACAGGGGTGCGCCACTGCAGCTGGCAGGGTTCTGGTTCTATTACCTACGGGTCCAGCAGCCTTGGGCAAGGCTCCAAATCATGCCACCCAGCCTCACCTTCAGCCCCTCTTGGAGGGATGGTGGGAATACTGCATGGAAACAGCTGTGGCTCGCAGGCCTTTGTGAGCTGTGGAGGGTCATGGAATAGGAGACGTGACAGGCTGCCCTCTGTGTCTGAGAATCACTTGATAAAGATAACAATAATAATGTTTTTCATTTACTTTTTTTTTTTTTGTAGTGATGGGGTCTCACTATGTTGCCCAGGCTGGCATTGAACTCCTGGGTTCAAGTCATCCTCCCCTCTCAGCCTCCCAAAGTGCTGGGATTACAGGTGTGAGCCACCACGCCTGGCCTTTCATTTACTTTGTATTTTCCATGTGCCAGACACTGGACTATGTTTAGCTTATTTGATCCTCTGGGTTTTTTTTTGAGATGGAGTCTCACTCTGTTGCCCAGGCTGGAGTGCAGTGGTGTGATCTGGGCTCACTGCAAGCTCCGCCTCCGGGTTCACACCATTCTCCTGCCTCAGCCTCCCGAGTAGCTGGGACTACAGGCGCCCGTCACCATGCCCTGCTAATTTCTTTTCGTACTTTTAGTAGAGACGGGGTTTCACCATGTTAGCCAGGATGGTCTCGATTTCCTGACCTCGTGATCCGCCCGCCTCGGCCTCCCAAAGTGCTGGGATTACAGGCATGAGCCACCGCGCCCGGCCTTATTTGATCCTCTGTAAGGTAGGCACTATTTATATTCCCATTTTCCAGATGAAGAAACTGAGACTCAAGTGCTTGTTCCAAGGTCACACAGGCCCCTAAAGCACAGAGCCATGCTGCAAGGTAGAACTGGGTCTTTCTGAGACCAAAGGCCTCCTTCCTATGTCCTGTACTGCTGGGGACTAGGGCAGCCTTGTTCTCGAGCAGCCCCTCCTCAATGGCCAGTGGAGAGCTGGGCCGGGCTAGGCTGCCTCCCCCAGGACTCGATGGGCTGCGGGAAGGGGTGACTGCGGGATTCTCCCCTGCTAAGGTCCCCACTTGGGGTTTGCAGCATCAGCTCCCCCCGTCCCCGGCTCCCCTGAGGGGCCTCTTCACTTCAGCCCTGGGGGAGGGGAGGGGAGGGAGTGGGGGGAGCTCAGGCAGACCTACTTTCAAGGTTTTAATCCTTTTTGCTTAAAGGATTTTTTTTTTTTGCTTGGGGAAGACTTGGTCTGATCAGAGGAGAGACGCAGGGAGCTGACAAGCATCGGAGGTTGGGGGATGATGAGGAGAAAGAAATACATATTTATTACCCTCAATTATTAAAAAATAGATAGTACGAGATCTTAGGTCCTGGCAGACACTGCAGCGGTATTTCTGCAAGGACTGTCTTCCTTCCTTCCTTCTTTCTCTTTCTTTCCCTTTCTTCCTTCCTTCCCTCCCTCCCTCCTTTCTTTTTTCTTTCTCTCTTTCTCTTTTTTTTAATTTTTAATTTTAATTTTTTTTTTGAGACGGAGTCTTGCTCTGTCGCCCAGGCTGGAGTGCAGTGGCGCGATCTCGGCTCACTGCAAGCTCCGCCTCCCGGGTTCACGCCATTCTCCTGCCTCAGCCTCCCGAGTAGCTGGGACTACAGGCGCCCGCCACCTCGCCTGGCTAATTTTTTGTATTTTTAGTACAGATGGGGTTTCACCGTGTTAGCCAGGATGGTCTCAATCTCCTGACCTCGTGATCCGCCCACCTCGGCCTCCCAAAGTGCTGGGATTACAGGCGTGAGCCACCGCGCCCGGCCTGTCTTTCTTTATTTCCTCTCTCTGTCTCTTCCCTCCTCCCTCCCTCCCTTCCTTCCTTCCTTTCTTTTCTCTGTCTCTGTCTCCCTCTCTCTTCCTCCCCACGCCCGTCTCTCTCTGTTGAGATTGTGACATGGCTAGCTTGTTAGTAAAAACACTCTGGCCAGTTCCCAGTGGGGGGCAGAGGGAAAGTCAGGTCCCGGCGAGGAGGCAGGGGCAGCAGCCAGGGTCCTCCATACCCCGGCTACCAGGAGGGGCCCAGACCCAACTCAGCAGCAAGGGTGGGGCGGGACGGATCTGTGCCCCCGTTTTGGGCTGCACAGGCTGGGTCCGAGGCCGGCGTGTTGCCCCAGCTATTTTTTTATGTACCTGCTGCTCTCTCAGGACAAACCCTCCACCAATAACAGGCCTTCCCTTGTGTTGCTGTTCTTTCCAAGGGAGTGGTGAGAGAGGAATCGATTCCAGCTTTCTCTGTGGGGGAGGTGACAGCTCTCGCCCCAGGCTTCTGAGGGCTTCACCAGGGGGCACTGCCAGCTTCCAGAACACACCCTTATCCTCCCAGGGATTGGATCTGCCTGCCGAATGGGGGCCAGGCATAAGTGTGGTGCAGAGATGCCAAGGCAGCCTACGAGAGTCCTGAAGGCCTCCGATACCTGATCCTGCAGGCTGGCAGACGGGCGGGTGACACCCACAGACTCTTTTGTTATGGCTCCTAAAACAGGGAAGGCAAGAGGGATCTACGGTGAGGAGAAAGGCCAGGGAGGCAAGCCCACCGAGAAGAGGACTGTGGCATTTTCATTTGGGTGCCCAGAGTCCCCCCAGAGCCTGCCACCGAGAGGCCTCGTCCATGGCTGCAGTGATAGAGGACAGTGATGCAGGAGGAACAGCAGCAGCGGCTCCGGGAGGCCTTGCTCTGCCACAAGAAGGCACGCTACATCCACTTTGTCACAAACTCTCAAAGCCCCAGAAGGCAGATGGCATTAACCCCACTTTTCAGATGACAAAACTGAGGCCAGAAGGATTTAAAGCATCTGCCCAGGGTCAGGCACCTGGTAAATGGCAAAGCAGGAGCCCAAGTCCCGCCTGCCTGGCCCCAGGGCCCCGGCCCGTGTCTGCTTGGCGCAATCTACGGAAGCAGCAGGAAAACCCGAGCAGACCAGCATTAACTTCGAGAGGAACCAAGCAAGAAGCAGTGTCTTGGCCGGGCGCGGTGGCTCATGCCTGTAAACCCAGAGCTTTGGGAGTCTGAGGCGGGCAGATCACTTGAGGTTAGGAGTTCGAGACCAGCCTGGCCAACATGGCGAAACCTGGTCTTTACTAAAAATACAAAACTTAGCTGGGCTTGTTGGCAGGTGCCTGTAATCCCAGCTACTCGGGAGGCTGAGGCAGGAGAATCACTTGAACCCTGGAGGCGGAGGTTGCAGTGAGCCGAGGTCGCACCACTGCACTCCAGCCTGGGCAACAGAGTGAGACCCTGTCTCAAAAAAACAAAAAGCAGGCCGGGCGCGGTGGCTCACGCCTGTAATCCCAGCACTTTGGGAGGCCGAGGCGGGTGGATCACGAGGTCAACAGATCAAGACCATCCTGGCTAACACGGTGAAACCCCGTCTCTACTAAAAATACAAAAAATTAGCCGGGTGTGGTGGCGGGCGCCTGTAGTCCTAGCTACTCGGGAGGCTGAGGCAGGAGAATGATGTGAACCTGGGAGGCGGAACTTGGAGTGAGCCGAGATCGCGCCACTGCACTCCAGCCTGGGCAACAGAGCGAGACTCTGTCTCAAAAAAAAAAAAAAAAAAAAAAAAGCAAAAAACAAAACAAAGAAGCAGTGTCTATTTTGCGGGCCAGGAGGCAGAGGCACTGGGCTGAGGCGGGGCTTTCTTTTCCAGTCGGGGGACCCTGTTTCAGAGACAAGGAAGAAGTGGCCGCCTGGAGTTCAAGGCTGTGGACTGGCAGTTCTTGGATGATGCACCAGTGTTCTGGGGAGGCCTTCACCCTTATCTCACTTTTCCAAGCGAATGGAAACCACTTTAAAATGCTTCCCGCAGCTCCGCCTGCACCGCCTTAGGGGACTTCTCCCTGGCCCTGGGCAGAGAGGGCAGAGGGTTCAGGACAGAGCAAGGATAGTCCTTGGCAAACAGGGTGGCCCCCTCCACCCTACGTGACCTGTCCCTGCTGGTCTTGAGTTTCCTGCCCCTGGCCAGGGCTGGCATGTGTCTGTCCTGATCACTCACACAGCTCTGGAGGCAGAGAGGCAAAACTCCAAAGGGCAGTGAGATGTGGGCTGTAGCTAAGGCCGGCACATGGAGCATGCCTGGAAGGAAGTTACCACCGCTGCTAGCAGTAGGAATGGCGGCGTTCATTGAGCTCCTGTTCTGGGTCAGGCCACAATATAGTGCCAAGAGCTTTTTAAATTTTTATTTATTTGTTTATTTTTGAGGCAGGGTCTGGCTCTGTTGCCGAGGTTAGAGTGCAGTGGCACGATCTTAGCTCACTGTAGCCTCGACCTCCTGGGCTCAAGCAATCCTCCTACCTCAGCCTCTCCAGTGGCTGGGACTACGGGTGCACACCACCACATTTGGCTAATGTTTTTCACGTTTTGTGGAGATGTGGTCTCACTATGTTGTCCACGCTGTTCTCAAACTCCTGGGCTCAAGTGATCCTCCTGCCTCGGCTTCCCAAAGTGCTGGGATTACAGGTATGAGCCACCACATCCGGCCACCAAGAGCTTTATAAGCATTGTCTTCTTTAATCTTCACAACTCTAAAGATAGGCACTGTTATTAGGCCCATTTTACAGATGAACTCAAGTCTGGAGAAAAAAGGTAATTCCCAGATTTCAACCTGGCTCTGGTTTAATCACTCCACTCAGAGGTGAAGGGCTTGGCCACTGACCTTTGCAATTAGGCCCTCCCTACCAAGCCCTTTCCTCTGATGAGGAGGAAGCTTCCATTGAGAAAGGACAGTCACTGGTACATCCAGAGAGGCCACAGGGCTCATGGCTGGTGTGGTGGCGTACTCCTGTGGTTCCAAGTACTCAGGAGGCTGAGGTGGGAGGATCGCCTGAGCCCGGGAGGTGGAGGCTGCAGTGAGCTGGGATTGCACTGTTGCACTCCAGCCTGGACACCAGAGCAAGACCATCTCTCTCTCTCTTTCTCTCTCTCTCTCTCTCTCTCTCTCCTTCTCTTTCTTTTTTCTTTTATTTTTCTTTCTTCCTTTTTTTTTTTTTGACACAGAGTCTCGCCGTGTCGCCCAGGCTGGAGTGCAGTGGCGCAATCTCGGTTCACTGCAACCTCCGCCACCCGGGTTCCAGCGATTCTCCTGCCTCAGCCTCCCGAGTACCTGGGACCACCGGTGCATGCCGCCACGCCCGCCTTATTTTTTGTATTTTTTAGTAAAGACGGGATTTCACTGGATTAGCCAGGATGGTCTCGATCTCTTGACCTCATGATCCACCCGCCTTGGACTCCTAAAGTGCTGGGATTACAGGCGTGAGCCACCACCCCGGCCTCTTTTCTTTTAATAGGTAGGCTAAGGGGAATTAGGAATGTCATATTTGGGGGAGGTTTGCAATTTTTTTTTTTTTTTTGGCAACAGAGCCTTGCTCTGTGGCCCAGGCTGGAGTGCAATGGCACAATCTCGGCTCACTGTAACCTCCGCCTCCCAGGTTCAAGCAA